>NC_000001.11:241032606-241184121 GCF_000001405.40 Homo sapiens
GAGCATGGGATAGTTTTTCATTTGTTTGTGTCATTTACTTGTGTCAATTTCTTTCATCAGTGTTTTGTAATTTCCCTCTCAGAGATCTTTCACGTCCTTCGTTACATATATTCCTATTTATTTTATTTTGTAGTTATTGTAAATCAGATTGACTTCTTCATGGGTTCTCAACTTCATCATTATTTGTGTATACAAATGCTACTGATTTTTGCATGTTGATTTTGTGTTCTGCAACTTTACTTAATTCATTGATACAATCAAATAGTCTTTTGGAGGAGTCTTTAGGATTTTATAGGTATAAGATCATATTGTCAGCAAGCAGAGATAATTTGATTTCCTCTTTTCCAATTTGGATGCGTTTTATTTTTTTTCTCTTGACTGACTGCTCTGGCTAGGACTTGCAGTATTGTATTGATGAATTCTTCTTACGGAAAAGTGGAAGTTCTGCTATATCAAAAAGAAAAGGGGGCTGGGTGCGGTAGCTCACGCCTGCAACCCCAGCACTTTGGAAGGCTGGACAGATCATTTGAGGTCAGGAGTTCGAGACCAGCCTGGCCAACATGGTGAAACCCCATCTCTACTAAAAATACAAAAATTAACTGGGCGTGATGGTGCACACCTGTGGTCCCACCTACCCAGGAGGCTGAGGCAGGAGAATCTCTTGAACCCAGGAGGTGGAGGTTGCAGTGAGCCAAGATTGCCCCACTGCACTCCAGCCTGGGTGACAGAGCGAGAGTCCATCTAAAAAAAAGCTGGCTGGGGGAGCGGGGGAGGAAAGTTCCATAGGCAAAAACAATAAGTCTCTATTATATATTCATGATGAAATTCTCATTGGTCCAAAATGAAATGAAAAATATAAAAATGATATATTAAAATTTTTATACAATTCATTATGAGTTTTTATATTTTATATAAAAATGATATTTTGAAAATTTTTATGAGGCTAAATAGGGTTAATTTTTAAATATTTATTTTTTACTGCCCTTTACTATTCTTTTTTAGTTTTGGTGATAAAATGTCCTTTCATTTAATATGTTATGGTGATATCAGTTTACAGTTATCTTTTTATGTCTTTACTTGGCAAAGTTAGGTTAACAACTCTATGACGGTTTCCTAATATATTGTTTAAATTTATTTGTTCACAATATCCAAACCTTTGGGAATCCTTAATCTAGAGCACATTTTACCAAAGTGCCACCTAAATTGCAGTTGGAATTGCTTGCAAGAAAGAAGGGTGGGAGAAGTTTACTGTCGAATATACTCAGGATGCTGAGATAAGAAACTTAAAAAAAAAAGGAACCTTACCACAGAACTTCTCACAGCCTTAAACATGCTGATGTAGATGGTGAATCCCCAAAATGAAGATACAGTATACAGCATATCCCACAATTATTTGACCAAGGAACTCTTGCACGAAGAAGCATCTTAGAGACTTGTCCTGGAAAGTGTTAATCTAGAGACTCACAAAATACTTCAACAAATATTGAATATTGGCTGGCAAATAGAAATGCATAATGACACTTCTATAGAAAGAGGAATCCAAGGGACATAAAAGAAATTAAGATGAGAATTCAGAGATTTGTGCCATGTCATCCTCGACTACAGCCTTAGTATTTTCAACTTACTGGTTTCTTAGCTTGGTCTGCATATTTGTGAAAGAATAAGCCCCATTCATACGCTTATATTTTCCCAAATGACTTTGAAATGTCAAGCCATTGTATGAATTTGAAACGGCATCTTTAGACCTTTACTGAAGTTATGTTACTGTTGCCGGAGTAACTAACAAGTATCACAGGGCAGGGGAAGGCAGAAAAATATCCTTTCATTTATCAAGCACTGAATAAAGCAAGAGGCTTAGAAATGTGCGATGGAACACGATGTTACAAAGCTATTGTTCCTGTACCTGTAAATAAAAGGTAACAAGGTCCATTTGATGACAAAGAGTCATGAGACAGCTACACAGCTCCTCTTCAAAAGGAAACAATAAAAACTTTTAAAAATACCAAATAACATTACACTTCTTGCTCTAAAAGTATGCTGGTTATATAACAGAATGCAAGTAGATTTATAATTAGCACTTGTTTATAGATGTCTTATACTGTGTCATGCATGGAGGGGCAAAAGAGGTTCTGATGGCTATTCATTCAGATAGAAGTTATCGAGGCCATAGGAAGTGAGAGCGCCATCATACTAATGTTAAATAGACTGAACAATGGGAAATTTACAACCAGCACAAGGATGAATCAGTTGATGAATATCACATTGTTGATAGAAAACGATTTTGAGAGAGTGGAGCAAAACTTATTTAGGAAGTTAGAGGCATCTCTCCTATTCTCTTCTTCCAACCCTCCACTTCTTCTCGTATTTAAGATTAATAGATAATTAGGGTAGAATGGATGCTCTTTAAAAGAGAAAGCACTGAACAGGAGAGATTGTGAAGGTTTTTTCATGCTGTGGACTCAGGATGCAAGAGGGGCTGTAACTCTCAGGATACAATGAGAAGAGGCATCATCCTTTCTGGGGTAACATTTGGCAGTATAGAGCTAGAATAGCAACATTAAGGGTAGCAAGATTAACAGCAAGAATACAGGGATCAGAAAGTCTGAAGCTCGAAAATGCTCTGAAATCAAGTGAAGTGATGTAAAGGGAATATCTAAGTTCATTTCTATAATTTCTAGGCCAGATAGTTTGTTAAAATATGGAAGAATGCAGGGATGCAAAATTTCTCCAGGTATATAAACAGCATAAGGAAGTAAAAAAAAAATATAGTACTCTGAGATAATTTCAAGGAAACATCTATAGGAATTCGGAGAAGGGAACATCATTTCTGGTTGGGATAATTATGAAACATTTCGGAACTGGGATATAGCTCAAAATACACTCAAAATAATTATGTGGTGGGCTTTCTCGATGACATCTCTCAGAGTGGCTGAGAATTCTAAGGTGTGTCAAAATTCTGTACTAAAATTTATGGCCAAATCAACTTATTTGATCACCAATACTGCCATTGCCATCAGCATCACCATTACCACCCCAACACTGCTATCACCATCATTACTACCACCACTTCCACCCTTATCAGCACCACTATCACCATTATCTCCAGCACCACCACCTCCATCACCATGACCATCATTATCATCATCATTACAGCTAACAGTTATCGAATGCTTACTGTATGCTTAACACCATTCTAACCCCTTTACATGAATAAGCAAATGTAAGCTTTCTTCAAAATTCCAGGTGAAATGCTATTTTCTCTGGATATGCCCCACTTCGTTGAATTATCTTCCCTTCAATGAAATTTTCTCTTTCTCTGTAAAGTTCTTTAATGGAAAAATCACTTTCCACATTATACTATAGATGTAAGTTACTTATTTCCCTTCTTTAAGGACAGATTATGCCTGATTCCACTTCAAGCCTCTCAAAGTACCCAGCCCACTCCTTACTACTAATTGCTCAATAAACTTATTTGTGTTAAGGAACAAATAAAAAGATAATTCCTACGGATACAATATTTTTAAGATTGACTCTCATTTTGGAATACAAACATGACATTGTATACAAAGCAAGAGTTTAGTTACCTTCATCCATGTCAAACTATGTCTTTAAAATTCACAGAAAATAAAAGAAAGACAAGTTACACATAAACCTTATGTCAGTTGTGATGCAAAAATATCAGATGATCATTTACACATTGAAAGAAACACAAGTATAGAATAGTTGCATTATCAAATATTTCTACAAAATATTATTGATTTATAACAGATTTTATTCATAAGTCCTGCCACTGCTGGTATAAAGGCAAAGAAATATCATGTAGGAAATATTTCGGCTGCAGTTGTTGGTTGCTTGCTGTGGTGGTGGTTGTTGGCCTTAGCTACATTTATTACATCCAAAATATAGAGCAGCGCCAAGATCTGTCTAAGTCCCATGCTTACACAATTAGCATGCTTCTCATTCTAAAAATACCTTTGTCCAGTGCTGTTTGAGAAACCAGCAGAGTTTTTCTAATAATCTTGTTAAATTACATGATAAGTAATCCATTGCTTCACCTTACAAAGGGATAGTTAGGAACAAGGATTAGATGGTTTGCCTAAGTATGTTGTAGTAGAGACTAGCTGAAACTATCTTCTTGGATGCATAGGCTGCATATGCCTAGCTTGCCGTGCAGTTAGATGGGGCCACATGACTGAGTACCAGCCAATGTAAGGTGAACAGAAATGTTTAGTCCTTCTCTATAAAAAACCTCCAAGGTGTCAACCTCCAGTTATTTTTGCCTGTTGCACTCCACTAACAAGAATGGTGATTGTGGGAGCTACATACTTAAGTTGAAAGGACCCACAAGATGAAAAAAGCTTGAGCCCCTGAGTCACAACCTGGAAGAGAACTGACTAGGGACATAGGTTTAAGACTTTATATGAGTAAGAAATATGCTTCTGTCATAATAAATCATTATGATTTGAGGATTTATCTGTTAAAGTAGCTAAGGTATATTAACTAACATGGACATTATTATCTTGAAGTGGAATGTTGCTCTAATAAAAGCCTTCAATAGGCTTAGTCGTTATGGAGTACACGGCTAGGAAATACGTATCAGAAGCTGGTAAGATAGAGATGTGTTATTTGGAGACAAAACATTTGTTAAGTCTATCATCTGCAATACATGTTCCTACATGTATTGACCAACTAAATCTTCAATTAGCCTCTAACTCTGGGAGAAGTAGGTAGGGAAAGTTAGAATATCTGTTTGTATGCATATTTATAACAGCATAATTCACAATTGCAAAAATATGGAAACAACCTAAAATGCCCATCAATCAACAAATGGAGGCCGGGCCCAGTGGCTCATGCCTGTAATCCCAGCACTTTGGGAGGCCGAGGCGGGCAGATCACAAGGTCAGGAGTTCGAGAGCAGCCTGACCAACATGGTGAAACCCCATCTCTACTAAAAATACAAAAAAATTAGCCAGGTGTGGTGGCAGGCCCTTGCAATCCCATCTAATTGGGTGGCTGAGGCAGGAGAATCTCCTGAGCCCAGGACGTGGAGGTTGCAGTGAGCCGAGATCACGCCATTGCACTTCAGCCTGGGCAATAGAGTGAGACTCCATCTCAAAAAAAAAAAAAAAAGTGGATACAGAAAATGTGGTATATGTACACCGTGGAACACTACTCAGCCATAAAACAGAACGAAATAATGACTTTTGCAGCAAATTGGATGGAGTCAGAGGCCATTATTTTAAGTGAAGTAACTCAAGAATGGAAAACCAAATATTGTATGTTCTCACTTATAAGTAAGGGCTAAGTTATGAGCACACAAAAGCATAAGAATAATACAGTGGACTTTGGGGACATGGGAGGAGGTGGGATTGAAGGATAAAAGACAGCATTTTGGGTACAGTGTATACTGCTCAGGTATAATGGGTATACCAAAATCTCAGAAATCACAACTAAAGAACATATTAATGTAATAAAATGTAATAACCACCTGCTTCCCAAAAACTATTAAAATCTTTTTTAAAAAAATCAGTGTGTATTTGTTACAGTTGGCTGCTGTTGGTATGTTATTGCCATAAAAATAGATAAACGAAAAATAAAGATGTTCTTAGGAAAGAATTGGCTACTTCTCTAGCTGAGTTAGAAGTGATTGGAGATCAAGCCCCTTGTAGGGTTAGAAAATCCAGACTGTTTATATATATCAAATAGCAAATAGTATCTTGGAGTAAAAAGATATTTCAGTTGAAAGAAATGATTCAGCCCTGCAACAAAGACTCATTTAAAAACGTTACCTTCCCACTCAAGCTTGTACTTTCACAAGGCCACAACATATCCATAATTATGTTGAGAAAGAAGCACTGGGCAAAAGAAGCAATGAAAGCAGATTTGACAAGTATAGTTAATAGAAAGTTTGGGTATAATTGCTGACATAGGGAGCTGACTGAAAGAACAAACATCAGAAATTCCTAAGTTCTTGAGACAATTATGCTGTCAGAAAATCCCTGAGCCTGGATTTTGCCAAAGCAGTTGACTTCTTGAACTCTAAGACAACACTTAGGTCTGCCAATTTGTACCAGCCTGAGAAGTGGGCAATGAACGTAGGGTAGCCAGCCTGATCCACTCATGCCTGTGATCCTAGCACTTTGGGAAGCCAAGGTGGGAGGACTGCTTAAGACCAGCCTGGGCAATACAGCGAGAACCTGTTTCTACAAAAATAAAAAATTAGTAGGGCATGCATTTGTAGTCCTAGCTACCCAGAAGGCTGAGGCAGGAGAATCACTTGAGCTCAGGAGTTTAAGGGTGCAGTGAGCTGTGATCGCACCATTGCACTTCAGCCTGGGAGACAGAGCAAGATCCTGTTGAAAAGAAATAGAAAGAAAAAAAAGAAAAGGAAAAGAAAAAAGAATGAAAGTCAGGCAGCTCGTCAAGGAGAGAATGTACCACAATGCCCACTTCCGATGTTGTGACCACAGAGAAGGACAGACAAAAGAATACATCTGTGTGTGAAGATCTAATCAACAGATTTCCCCCATTTCTGAAGTTGACACATTCAGGACACCTGCCCAGCAAGAATCTGTAGTTGCATTGGTCCAGGGAATGCTGTCTGCCTCCCATTCTTCACTTTTCCTAATTGGAATTTATTAGTGTGCTTAACCTTTCTCTACTGTGGGATCAAACACTGGGCATGAGGTGTGGGTTGTGAGGAGAGGGTAACTAACTGGTCCTTCTGTTCATAGATAAACCACAAGGCGCCATATCTCGTTCTGACAGATGGCTGCACATCACTGGAAGGATCTTATTCGTTGAATCAGACACAGAAGCAGAATGGGATTTGGGGTTGTCTTTGGCACATGGGTGGTTTATAGGTGTGTTCTATGTGTGAGAAGAAAAATGAAACAGATATATGGAAACCAGAAGGTAGATTTAGAAGAGATTGGTCAGTTGATCACTGAACTCATTTCTTTTTTTTTTTTCCCCCTTGGCATGCAGCAAGACAGAATTTCTCATGCTCCTTCACAGTTAGTTGTGATGTACAACCGAGTTTCAACACTTGGAAGTAAGTGAAATGAAATGGGCTGCTTTCTAGGCCTGGATAGGAAAATCCCCTGCCCACGATTCTCCATGCTCTTTCCCCATTTAGCTTGATGCAAACAAGCCAGAGACCTTGAAGGCTAGCTGGTGACGATGGCAGAGCCATAACATGGAAGGATGTTTGATCTATGAATCGCCACTTGGAGAACCGACTTGCTGTTCAGGAACACCCGCTTTGGAAATTACATGTTCAATAAATAAACCTGTGTTAAGACACTAAGATTCAGGGACTTTGCTGTTAGAGTTGATGGGATTACCTTAACCACACACCCACAACTGGTTTAATAGAAGATTGAATGTAAAATGATTTCAAGTGCCCAACGGCTGAATTTCTTAATATGCTATCCTAAGTCTCATCATGATGATACACTAGGAATGACAGAAATCAGTCATATGGACTCTTTAAGACAGTTTTTCCCTGCAGGAAAACTGTGAAGAGTATCACCTGAGGTGGCCACATCTCCTTTAGACCCCTCTCAGCCTTTCAGCGTTTTCTGTAAATAAAGTCCATTCTTCAGAAAACTTTCAACTAAACTTTGATGAGATAGAGCCACCAGAAAAGAAAAATCATGTATGCTGTAACCACTAGACCAAGGTTCTTTTCCAAAGAGGTTTGTCGATTTTGATAAATGTACTTCTAAATATATTTGACATACATAGGCATCGGGTGTTTAATGAACAGCTTTTTCTGCTAAACGTCATTTTTTCCAAGGTTCTCTTACAAGGAGCTTGACATGTGTAGATGATTATGAGAATATATGTAGACTCACTTTTTACTTTTCTTTTTATTTATTTATTTATTTACTTATTTATTTATTTATTTAAGACTGAGTTTCGCTCTTGTTGCCCAGGCTGGAGTGCAGTGGCGCGATCTCGGCTCACTGCAACCTCTGCCTCCCAGGTTCAAGTGATTCTCCTGCCTCAGCCTCCCAAGTAGCTGGGATTACACCATACCCGGCTAATTTTGTATTTTTAGTAGAGACAGGGTTTTACCATCTTGGCCGTGCTGGTCTTGAACTCCCAACCTCAGGTGATCCGCCCACCTCGGCCTCCCAAGGTGCTGGGATTACAGGCGGGAGCCACTGCACCCAGGCTTCTTTACTTAAAAACAAACAAACAAACAAACGAAAAGCTTTCTATTCTCAGAAGTGTTCTTGCCCTGGCTATTATAAATTTTCCCTGTTCTATCTAACCAACAGAATGTATTACTCTTCCCTGGGAACATGCACGTGCAACTCCCTCTCATGTAAAAATTGCCATATTATCCAAGAAGAGTGTGTACGGGTGCATAATTCAATTAAATATGTAGTTCAGAAGCAAAAGTAAATATAAGATTGTGCTAAGGTTCATGAATTCAAAGTTTAAATACTGAGACTCTCAGAAAATGTAAAATGCTTTTAAATGTATATATTTATTCTGATTATTACCTTTTGAAAATGAACTGAAAAAAGACCTACTTAGGAAACAGAAATACTTCTGAGATATTGATAAGCGGCTTATTATTTTTATTGCTTCAATTTTTAGTTTTATGAATTACTCTCCACCACAACATATTACTGGAAAGTTAAGTTTTACTGCGGTGATCTTTCACTAAAGTCTAATTCATTCTAATCATTTCAAAATTCAGAGTTTGGTGTTCCATATTTTTGTCTTCCTTGTCAGTTCATTTTGTATATTATTTACTTGATAAGCTGAGGCTTGAAAAAAATACTCGCAAAAGCTTGTCTGTACTTATGGCCCTGGGCAGGAGTACAGGCACTTTCTCTCATGAGTATTTTACATAGGAATGATCCAGAGAAGAGATGTGGCCCTGTCTCTACCTTGACAGTAAGCTCCAAATGCTGACATTTGCTGAAGTAAAAATTCTCCCTGTCTAGTGGCAAAGGTGCCCCCATTCCTTTGACCCCAAAACTCCCACTTCCCCCAATCTTCCCATGCAGATGTTGTCTGCAGAAATGAAGCCATCAGGCATCAGACCCCAAAGCAGACTTAGGTCGCATTTACACATTTTCTATCACAAGCAGGATAAAGACAGACTCAAGTTACCCATTACATTTAGGACTTGGGGCTCTTAGCACCCAGGCTCAGGGTTTTAACTCAGGACACTTACAATGAACTAACTCAGTACTACCTTTGGTAGTACTACCTTTGAGAACTAGGTTCCCTGCTAGACTTTGAATTTCTTGAGGATTGGGGGCACATCTTATTTGTTGTTGTGTCCCTGGAACCTACCAAGTACTAGAGCATCGTGGGCTGGCTGTAAATGTCTGTGGGATGACTTAGTAAATGAGGAAGGCGAGACATCCTTGACCAACCATAGTGACTAAGATACTGCAGTGGAACACCTGCTGTTCCTAGTTAACTAAGTAAATATGGATCTCCCATAGTATATAGAGAAAGAATAACTCTAAGGAAGAAGGGGATAATGGCTGCGATTCCTTCCAAAAGAACGCTGTCACATGTGTGGGGGCGCTGTACATATGTATCATCTCTTAACTACAATCTATGCATGTAGTTTGTTTACAGAGATATTTCATGCATGCTGTAGAAAATTCAGGTCATATAAAAAGGGATTATAATAAAGCTAAAATCCCCTAAAAGTTCACCACTCAGAAGAACTCTCCCATCAACATTTGTATGGGGATCACCCAAGGTCAATCTTTCTGGGTATGTCTGTGTTTATGCTTCCTATAATTTATTTTGATTTATGTTTTTGCTGTATCACTTCTGCTTCTCACCCTTTATGACATGATGGAGATATGTCTCTTTTTTATTTTACTAGTAGTCACTTTTATAACTTTAAATAGCATATTTTAACAAAGTTCTTAATATATTAAGTACAGACATAAAATAATACATACAGAAAAAAAGGCACATAAAAGACCAGGAATAGCTTACTTTCTCTCATCTTCATTTTATTGGAGCATGCTTCAAGATTATGTCCCTTGGCCGGGCCGGGCTTGGCCGGGCGTAGTGGCTCACACCTGTAATCCCAGCACTTTGGGAGGCCAGGGCAGGCAGATCACCTGTGGTCAGGAGTTTGAGTCTAGCTTGGCCAAGATGGTGAAACCGTGTCTCTACTAAAAATACAAAAATTAGCCGGGCATGGTAGCACATGCCTGTAATCCCAGCTACTTGGGAGGCTGAGGCAGGAGAATCTTTTGAACCTGGGAGGCGGAGGTTGCAGTGAGCCGAGATCACAGTGAGCCGAGATTGCACCATTGCACTCCAGCCTGGGTGACAAAGCGATACTCCGTCTCAAAAAAAAAAAAAAAAGGATTATGTCCCTTTATCCTAGTGTAATTATTATTACTTTATATTGTATGGTATACTTGCTTTCTTTTGTACAGCCAATATTTCCAATAGATATTGTGAATAATTGTTTGCTCAAATGACTTTAATCTCATTACTAGTCCACTCATTCTACACGAGTTTTTGAAATTATTATCACTTTCCAGTTCAGTAGGGTATATCTGATCTATTTCCTGAGTCTTTAAAATGTTCTGAATCTTTGAATATTTATTCATATATTTCTATTTTCTTTTTATATGAGCTATAACTTAACTGGTTATATAATACTTTTGTTACACTATTTTGTCTCAAATTGTGTAGCTGTTGCTTCATTGTCTTTGGGACACAATGCTGCTAAGGAAAAAGTCTGGATCCAGGCTAATTTTTTTCTCTATGATATTGTTGACCCTATATTGTTACTTTGTATTTTTGTTATTTGCATTTTTCGTTGTTGTGTTCTTATTTTTTCCCCAATATTTTCAATCTATGGTTGGTTGAAACCCGCTAATATGGAGGGTCAACTATGATATGATATTAATACATATATAGATATATCATATATAATATTATATAGTTATATTTTATATATTATATTAGTTATATTTTATATATTATAATATTATATAGTTATATTTTATATAATACATATTATAATACATAGTTATATTTATATAATATTATGTTATATCTATATATAGATATGAGAAAAAGCAAAAAACAAGAACAATTAAAAAATATAAATACAAAAACCCAGTAGAGTATAACAACTATTTATGTAGTATTTACATTGTGTTAGGCATTATAAGTAATCTAGAGATGTTTTAATGTATAAGGGAGGATGTGTGTAGGTTATCCACATATATTATGCCATTTTATAAAAAGGACTTGAGCATCCACGGATATTGGTATCGACCAGGGTCCTAGAACCAATCCTGTGCAGATACTGAGGGATGATGTATATTCTTTTGCATGTATGCTTGTAGAAATATTTCTAAATCCTTGCATTTCAACAACCTACTACAATCTTTGTGCTACTTGCTTTGTGATACACATGCTTAGAACATCTTGCCTCATCTTGATCTGCAGATTTGGGTTTGAATTAATTTCTTTCTTTTTGTTTTTTTTGTTTTTTTTTTTTTTGGTTTGAGATGGAGTCTTACTCTGTTGCCCAGGGTGGAGTGCAGTGGCATGATCTGGGCTCACTGCAACCCCGCCTCCTGGGTTCAAGCGATTCTTGTGCCTCAGCCTCCCAAATAGCTGGGATTACAAGTGCACACAACCACGCCCGCCTAATTTTTGTATTTTTAGAAACGGGGTTTCACCAAATTGGCCAGGCTGGTCTCAAACTCCCGACCTCAAGTGATCTGCCCGCCTTGGCCTCTCAAAGTGTTGGGAATACAGGCATGAGCTACCGTGCCCTGCCCTGAATTCATTCGTTTGTTTGTTTGGTTTTTAAGACAAAGTCTCATTTTGTTTCCCTGGCTGGAGTGCAGTGGCACAATCATAGCTCACTGTAACCTCAAATTCCTAGGCTCAGGCAATCCTCCCATCTCATCCTTTTGAGTAAGTGAGACTACAGGTTATGCCACCATGCTCAGCTAATTTTAAAATTTATTTATTTTTTTTGTAGAGATAGAGTCTCGCTATATTGCTAAGGTTGATCTTGAACTACTGGCCTCAAGCAGTCTTCCCACCTCAGCCACCCAAGGTTCTGGGAGTACAGGTGGTAAGCCACCACACCTGACTTGTTTCTGTTGTTGTTTTGATATTATCTTCAGGTATAACAATGATCCATAAGCTTGATATTTATTTCGTGCCTCCATATCTATAATCTTCTCCCTTATTAAATAAGTTAACACAAGAATTTAGAGCAATGCTTTACACAGAATATATGTTCAAAATATAAATTATTATAACTGATTAATTGTTTTAACTCTTTTTTCCCTAAACTCTGGCTGATTTTCTCAGTCTTCTCCTTCCTATCACTGACTCAGCTCTGTAGTGCTGATTCTGTACTTCGAGTTTCTAAAGAGCTTTTAATTTCCATGATGGCAATTACTTTCTCTTCAGTTTCTTTCCTTAATATGGCTAGCTGCCCTTAAAGTGAATTCACTTAAATTATCGTCTCATCTTTGATCTCTTCATTCAGAACAGTAGATGATATACCTTAAATTTTATTAAATTCCTCCATGTTGGAAAACACTTGTCTAAAATTTTCTTCTAATTCCTTGAGTGTGCTTTCCTCCAAAATGTGTTCCTGAATTAATCTTCTGCATGCTAGACTTTTTTTCTTTTACCCTTTGGCTACCTTCTCTTTTGCATAAATTTAACATAGGCAAGATATTTTATGTCTAGGTGTCTTTGTATTTACTTACTTATTTATTTATTTATTTTTGAGACAGAGTCTCACTGTGTCGCCCAGGCTGGAGTGCAGTGGTGCGATCTTGGCTCACTGCAACCTCCGCCTCCCAGATTCAAGAGATTCTCCTGCCTCAGCCTCTCAAGTAGCTGGGATTACAGGTGCCCACAACCATGCCAGGCTAATTTTTGTATTTTTAGTGGAGACAGGGTTTTACTATGTTGGCCAGGCTGGTCTTGAATTCCTGATCTCATGTGATCCTCCTGTCTCAGCCTCCCAAACTGCTGGGATTACAGGCATGAGCCACCGCGCCTGGCCTGTCTAGGTATCACTGAACAGTGAACGCTATTCTACGCAGGCTTGCCTTTTGCCCAAACATAAAATGGGTGGATTCTCATTGCAACTCCTCCTTGTTTTCCTGTACCTTGCTTGAAAAATCTCATTTGAAAAGGACCAGGAAGTCTCCCTGTGGTTTCTATTCTCTTTAAAGTATTTCAAGAGAGAGGTTTTCAGGGAAGGCAAAGGGGCCCTGGAGTTCTATTCAGGGGATTCCTCTCTTCTCTCCCCTCCATCAGTTGGTCTGAATCCCCAGTAATATGGGCCAGCTTCACACAATTGAAGGTGTGCCCTGGTCTATGGAAAGTACCTTTGGCATTTAGACTTTTTTTCTCTTTGGAGTAGGGCTGTTATGCTTCCTGTGAGATCCTTGTGGTTTATGAGTTTAGGGTTTTTTTGTTTGTTTGTTTTGTTTTTCATATTTCCTACCAAGCATTTTGTTTTCTGCTGAGATTTGGGGTAGATCCATTTTTCAAAAAATTTCAACTTTATTTCAGGTTCAGTAGTACATGTGCAGGTTTGTTACGTGGGTATATTGCATAACACTGAGGTTTGGGGTACAAATGATCCCATCAACCAGGGAGTAAACACAATACCTAATGGGTAGTTTTTCAGCCCTGACCCCCCCCCCCTTTTCTAGTCATCCCCAATGTCTGTTGTTCCCATCTTTATGTCCATGTGTACTTAATGTATAGCTCCCACTTCCAGAAAACCAAATACTACATGTTCTCACTTATAACTGAGTAGAGCCATTGATCCTCAAAGATTTGTCTGTTTCCTTAGTTAGCCAAAGGGGAAAAGTGGCCAAACTTTTGATATCATTCAAGTGAAGGCCTTGAAAAACCATTTGTCTTCAGTGGGGAAAAAGAACTGCAAGTGGGTTATTCTACATCTTTTCTTCAACGGCCGACACCTCCATTCTTGGTCTTAACAAATTTTGAGGATACCAGTCAGCGATGATGAGTATCTGAATATATGTGACTCTCTCATGGGCAGGAAAACACCCTACTAATCTTTGTACACTTGGTGCCCAGGTGCTATGCATACAGATAAATTCTCCCTTAAAGGGTAATTTGAATGCCATATATATCATCTGTAGACAGATGATTTTTCTGCTTGTCCTTAGCCACTTAGGTTTTGTCTCTTCTTCTTCAATCTGGCAATTTCCTATATATGAAATGTACACCAGCCAGTAGTGCAATTTCAATTCATAAATGTTACGTTCTACTGCCCATAGATCCCCAAATGAGCTCATGAGGAACTTAGAGTGAAGCGAAATGCCAGTGGACCTCCTCCAAAGGCTTGTTCCTCCAACAGCAGCAAATTTTGTGAGCAGTCCATGAACCCCAAGTCTGAGAGATCAGTCTCAGATCTATCTAATTGCAGGGGGCTGTAGAGACTTAAAGCCTGTATTTATTATCTTAATTACCTTTTGGCCAGGGCAAAAGGAGATGTTATATAGACAACCAGTTGCTTTGAGGTTTGCACTGAATCCACGTATCTCCGTAGTTGCTCCCAACCAATGATGAAGCACAGCCCAGTGACTAAAATGGGCTATTTCTGGGAAACATAGGATGCTCCCATGGTGATTTTAGCTTCATAGTTTCCCCACAGCCTTGCTGAAGTTTTCCTGGAGCTGTGCACAAATCTAAAATACTTGATCCAACTCCCTTTCTTTTCCTCTTTCTTTGTCTTTCCCGGCTTCCTGGTATCTTTCTTTCCCTCCCACCTTTCTTCTCTCTCTCACTTGGGGTTAGAACTGAAGGATTACCTGTTAAACACGTTTAAACATGCTTTTATGATAATACAGTTCAAATGCTTCCCATATCTACATTATAACCTTTATTATACTCTCTAATGTACTTCAGCATTATGAAATACAACATAACATACTTCAACAGGGAACTTGACTTTCAAATGTCACTATTAGTACTTACTAAATTGAAAGGAAATGTTCTCCTATCAGCAAGTAAACACGATACACTTGAATATTCATGCCATTGCAACCATGCACTATTCAAATCTTCTCTGTCAAATAATTGTTTACAATCCTTTTTTTTTTTTTTTTTTTTTTTTGAGATGGACTCTTGCTCTGTTGCCCAGGCTGGAGTGCAGTGGCGTGATCTCAGCTCACTGCAACCTCCGCCTCCCAGGTTCAAGCAATTCTCCTGTCTCAGCCCCCCTAGTAGCTGGGATTACAAGCGTGCACCACCACGCCTGGCTAATTTTTGTATTTTTAGTAGAGATGGGGTTTCACCATGTTAGTCAGGCTGATCTTGAACTCCTGACCTCAGGCAACCCACCTGCCCCAGCCTCCCAAAGTGCTGGGATTATAGGAGTGAGCCACTGCACCTGGCCTGTTTACAATTCTTAATTGCCTGTCAGTGGTGTAGATGTGTATGTATGTATGGCGGGGTCACGGGCATTATTACCAAGTTTAAAAGGAAAGAGTCTAAAAATAGTTCCCATGACTCAGGAGGAAAGTGTCCCTGTGTTGTCACCTTATTTCCACTTTAGATCCGTCTATGTTCGTAACCCTGGGACAGGATCAATGATCTGTAAACCAGGCTCAGCCTCCCCCTGGTGAGCCTAATGAGGCACAGAAATAAAATATAAAAGTAAGTTCAATACCAAATCTTATACCCTCCTAAGAAATAGTAAGAGTTGGAAAAAATAAATACTCTTTTATAAAGAGTGAAATGAATCTGTTTTCTTCATATCTCCCCCACCCCTAACCTTTAGTAGAAGCCAGCATAAATCTGGGGAGAGAAGCCCTCCATGAGTGCTGGGCCTTCCAGCCTCTCACCCACAGGCCATGGTGTCACTGTGACTATAGTTTTACTAATAATACTATATGGCGGCTCATTTTTCTATTCAAACTCTCTGGAAGATATTAAATAAGTCTGTTTTATTTAATAGATAAATCAGGGCTGCGATGTTCTCACCAACCAATTAAGAAGCCCAGGGAAAATACTGACACTCTCCTTCTGAGGTTCCTCTGTGCCTCCTGAGGATGGCATATGTAAAGTTTTCTGTTTCCCTGGTCTTTTCATCCCATTCTTATGCATCATATGAGCTTTCTAGGGTTGTCATGACAATGTGCCACCAACTGGGTGGCTTAAAACAACAGACATTTATTGTCTCATGGTTCTGGAAGCTACAGGTCTGAGACTGATGTGTTAACGGGACCACACTGCCTCTGAAATCTGCAAGGGCGATCTCCCTGCCTCTTCCTAGATTCATTGGGTTTGCTGACAATTGTTGACACTCCTCGGCTTGCAGCTGCGGCACTTCAGTGTCTCCCTTCATTGTCACACAGTGTTCTCCCCTCTTCTGTCTGTGTCTTCATCTCCTGTTTGAATAAGGACACCTAGCTTATTGTATTATGATCCACCCCGGTGATCTCATCTTAACTTCGTTACATCTTCAAAGACCCTATTTCCAAGCAAGGCCACACTCACAAGTACTAGGGGGTAGATCTTTAACATATCTTTTTTGGGGACCAGTTCAACCCATAACACTAAGATTGAAAACCTGGCAACATCGACTTAAATATATTTGAGTGTGTTAGTGCAAACCTGGTTTTGGTGCCTTTTACATTCAACTGGACATTACTGGTGTTATCTCATACCCCTCTTTACAGAGTTCTGAGTTGTCTTCGTGAATTCTTATTTACAACATAGATGCATTAGACACACACACAAAAACTTTATTTTGTTTGAAAATCCTTGACCTTTGGAATACATTTAAAGATGAAAAGAACTATGTAGTCAACTCAAATCTCTAGAGACCCTGTAGTCCTCATCCTTTTGTTAAACTTTCCTCATGACTTTGCTACAGTGGGTAGTCAGGAGAAAGGGCTTTCCCCTACCTTTAATCACAATTGTCTGTGGACAACTTTTGTAATATATCCCAATGTTGTAGGAGTCTCAGCTTGACCATAAAGAAGATGCTAATGGGTATGTTGGACGAACTGTTGGTGCAGACCCACCAGGAACTAAGGGATCTTCCTGTAAGAAGTTCTTGCAAGGAAAGATGGAATTTGGCATAATGGACTTCTACAGATATCAGGCTTTGGTCATGTAAAAGCTGAGGAGCTGCTGAACATCTCAATAAGTTTAATGTATCTGGTTTGTCTCCAGGCCCTTGGGACAGACGCATGAAATCTGTGGTAGTCAGGATGGGTCACACTGTACTAACCCAAAAAGGTTACAGCTATTTTATAAACACCAAGAGATGCTTGACAAGACAATAAAACATAGAAAGTACTATTATTTGAGTGCCCTCGGTACTTTTCTCACACCTGGCCAAGACCTACACTTTGTAGGGCCTTTTCTAGCTTCCTCTAGTTATAGCCTTCTCCAGAGGTTAAAAGTTCTACATAGCTAAGGGGCTGTGTCCACCAAGCATCTTTGCCCCCAATTCTCGCACACACTGTTAGAATCCAGAAATTTCCTTCCCTAAAGAACGTGATCCCATTATCAAGAATCTCCAGGTCCCTTCCCCAGGTTTTTTATCCTGAAGATAGATGGCACAGCCAGTATGTGTAGATCAGGCTCAAGGGGTGCCTGAGGGGTGGCTATTAGTGGGGATGGTGTGAATAGAGCTTGGGCATGCAGACTGGAGCATCCATACACTTATCCAAGAGGCTGCTGGGCACACAAGGAAAATCCTCAGGTGGAAAGGGAAACAGGAGTAGGCTAGAGGCTGGGGTTAGGTACTGGAGGCTGGCTCTCCCAGGTCACTATGTTCCATCATGGGACACTGAGGAGTCCAAGAATTCCAAATATGAATGTGGTCTTTCTTGTAATTATGAAGGTAGGCTTGTCAAAGAGGGAAGATAGTACATATATTATTGAACATTTTCTTAGCTTGATTCATAACTTTGAAGTACAAGTGACCCTTGAACCACATGGGTTTGAACTGCACAGGTCTGCTTATCCCTGGATTTTCTCCCACCTCTGCCACTCCTGAGACAGCAACACCAACGCCTCCTCCTCCTCTTTCTCTTCCTCCTCCTCCACAGCCTACTCAACATGAAAATGAAAAGGATTAAAACTGTTATGATGATCCACTTCTACTTAATGGATAGTAAGTATATCTTCTCTTCCTTATGACTTTCTTAATTTTATTTTTTCTAGTTTACTTTATTGGGAGAATATAGTATATGATACATATAACATATAAAATACGTGTCAATCAAATGTTTATATGATTGGTAAGGCTTCTGGTCAACAGTAAGTTATTAGCAGCCAAGCTTTTGGGGAGTCAAAATTTATTTGCAGATTTTTGATGGTGAGGGAGATTGGCACTTCTAACCCCCACATTGTTCAAAGGTCAACTGTAAAATCCTAGGTTATGAGGGTCTCTACTTGTACTCTTGCCCTACAAATGTTAGGGGTGGGTCTGGGTGCCTGTCCATCAAAGTATATTTCCAGAGGCCAGGTGGGAGGGAGGCAGTAGCTGCAGATCCAAGGAAGCACAGAGAAAAATAGTAGATAAGCAGCCAAGATGAGACAGTGGAAGCTCAATGAAGTTATGTCACTTATCTGTCTGAAACCTTAATTCTGCCTTGTCATGGAAACTGGCATATTCACAGGTTCTGGAGATAAGGAAACAGACATTTTGGAGGGCTGTTATTCTCTCTGCTACAGGCTTTAATCACCTGCAACTTGGTTATAAAAACTCGTTTAGATGCTTTATCAGGTAGCAGTGATTCAAATGAATTACACTCTGTAGTTACCTTGAAAGGAACCCCTGAAAAAGGGATTGCAGAAGCCAACCAATATAGCAAAGCACAGACTTCACGTCCTAGCTTTTTGCCTTGACTTCTTTATTTGGTCAAAGAATCTCTCTCTCTTTCTCTCTCTCCCCGCACCCCCCAACCCACCCCATCACTCCTCTTCTCCTCTGCCTTTCCTCTCCTTCTCTTGCTTAACAACTGATTCACACTGTTTAAATAACTTCCGTGGGTAGAGAGAACTTGAAGTACAAAAACTAAATAGATTTTCTAAGTCACACAAAAAATCTGAGAACCAAGATGCATGCATTTGCTTGCATCAACAGATAACGGCTAACTTGCATTGAGTGTTTCTCTGTCTGAGATACTATACTAAGCACTTGACATGTGTTATCTTATTCACTCCTTCTAACTGCCTTATTCAGTAGGTGCTATAATTATTACTATCTCATTTCACAGATGAAAACACTGAAGCTTGAAGAGGTTAAAGAACTTGTCCACAACCGTACACGTATCATGTGGCGCAGTCAGTCCTCAAACCCAGCCTCTATAGTTTTGCACTGAGCCCCTTCACCACCATGACTGTATCTAGGAATCCTTGCTAAGCTTCCCCAGAGATGTGAACACCTTCCATAAACATGTTATATACAGCAGACATGACCACAGCTTGTTCAAATCAGTAGAACATTTTCCAAGAGCCTAACATGTATTGGGTCCCGTGTTCAATGCTAGGGATACAAATATAAGTAACAAAATGCCCATGCCCTTCAGAACCTCAGCTTCCTGGGGAAAATGGAAATAGGAAATGTCAACGCAGCAAGTGAAGTGCTATGGTAGAAGGCATTACAGAAGCCCAGCAGAAGGCTGCAAGCGATCAAGGTTGTTAAGGAGAAAAGAAACAGGCTAGGAGGGGAGGATTAAAACATTTGAGGTGGACGTTAACAGATGAATACAAATAAGCCAGATGAAGAGGGTAGGGAAGGTATTTCCAGTCAGGGATAAGAGCAACGTGAAGGCCGAGCAGTATGGGAAGGCACGGCCCATGCACAGTGTCATGTACCTATTTACACCACACACTACTACTCTGAACTCTTTGCCATAATACACTCTGGAATGCTGTATGCCTTAGCTTGACCTTCTCTATTTCTATAAAAAGCGAAATCACTCCTCCCTCTGATGACCCATGTCAAGGTTGAAAAACCATCTACTGTATTTCAAAATTTTCTGAGTTGATTTGGCCTTAAGGATTCTCTAATAAGCCTGATATAATTCTTAACAATTCCCCCCCAAAGTATTGAACTAATAGCTATTCCCTGACGCAAAGCAATTTTCTCGGAGGAAATGATCTTAGAATTTTTCTGCATAGCGTGGATGCTTTTTTTTTTTGACAGAACACTGATTTCTGAAAATGAATAGAAAGCAGCTGTATAGCTGAGCTTAAATGTAGCCCAATCATGTCATCCGTGTGCCAGAACAAGATAATTTTTCCACCCTAATTCCCATCATCCTCTGCTTGATTTGAAAGACACCTACATATACTTGACTAAGTTCTGGGTGCTTCAAAAATGTATACTGTTTCTTCCTAAAGGAATATGAATTTGGAAGGGGAATCCCTTATCCTAAAGCAATCACACTGAAAATATCTCTTGACATACATTTAGACTTTCAGGAATAAAATGAAGATTGATGTCACAGTGAAGTGGTTCACCAGAATCCAGTAAAACTTGGGGCTAAGGAAACTTTGCAATCAAAAAAGCCTATCCAGCTCTTCTTGTTCTTAGATGTCCCTCCTCATTTCTTGGCCATGCTAAACAAAATCTCAACTGTTATCTCAAATATCTGAACAGAGGTTATTCTGAACAGACACCCATGCTGTAGGGCAAGCAGGCCCTTACAGGCCTTGCACTCTTTATCGTGGCCTTGTAGATCTTTGCTTAATTTGCTTTAGTAAATATTCTAAATACTGACCCTCAAAGTAGGAGACTTTTCCTAGAGTTTCTCCTGTGGAGGGGGAAAGTCATAAAGCTAATTTTGGCAATTTGAAAACAAAATTTTCATCACTATCAACGAAGAATATAGCAAATTTTAATAATATGACACTGTGTCATTTGACCACCTGTTAACTCTAGATGGCAAATATATTTAAATGATTCTACTTTCATAGATCTTACTTAGCAATAAGGTGCTCACTATTATCATCGTAAGATTTTTGGTGCAAAAAGTATATACTAGACATCTGATATGGTTTGGCTGTGTCCCCACCCAAATCTCATCTTGAATTGTAGCTCCCGTAATTCCCACATGTTGTGGGAGAAGCCCGGTGGGAGATAACTGAATCAAGGGGGGCAGTTTCTCCCAAACTGTTCTCATGGTAGTGAATAAGTCTCACAAGATCTGATGATTTTAAAAGGGGTTTTCTTTTTGCTTCGTTCTCATTCTTTCTTGTCCGCTACCATGTAAGACATGTCTTTCACCTTCTGCCGTGATTGTGAGGCCTCCTCAGCCATGTGGAACTAGAGTCCCTTAAACCTCTTTTTCTTTATAAATTATCCAGTCTCGGGTACGTCTTTATCAGCAGTGTAAGAATGCACTAATATAACATCTATTCTTCTGTGGTCAGAAGCGCTCTATGACCTATGGGTGTCACACCCAATAAATATGCATGAATTAATGGCCTGACAGTAATAAAATAAGTAGAATAGAGTCCTTGATCTCACTAGATTTATGATGAAGTTAAGGAAAGAACATATAACACTGAGAATTCATAAACAACCCCAGAACAGTATTAAAGACAACTACGTGTTAAACTATGATAGTTCAGCAGAGGAGAAGACCAGTGTGCAACAGAAGAGTCAGAGGGAGCTACACTGAGAGATGGCTTTGTCCAAAATGCAAATCTCATAACACAGAAGGCAGCCAAACTCCTGCGTACCTCCTTCCTCCTCAGACAGACTTTAAATACTTTAAAGGCTGGAGTTTCCCAGGGTTTGATTCTCATTTCTCTTTTCATCTCCATCTCCACTGTCTCCTCAGGTGATGTTATCCAGCTCCATGGAGCTCATAGAATGAATGATTCTCAGTTAATGTCATGGATACTAATCTCCCATTTGAGCACCTGATATAAAGATCCAACCACTTACTTGACAACTCAACTTCCATATGTAATAGGTAATTCAAACGTATAACATGTCCAAAATAGAACTTTTATACCCTACTTCCTGACCTGCTACTTCCTCAATCAACCACACATCTATTAAGAGTGCCAATATTCACTCAGGTGCTTGGACCAAATCCCAAGAATCAACCTTGACTCTTCTATTTTCTTTCTTGCCCATATCTGATTTGTCAGCAAATCCAATCATGTCTTATCCTTTCCACTGTTTCCACCTTTGTATAAGCCAACATCCTCTTTCTCCTGACCAACAAGTAGAGTTATCTTCCTAAAACTTATATCACTACTCTACTTAAAACACTCCAGTGGTCTTCCAGTGGTTTTTCAATGCTAATGGAATAAAATCCAAACTTTCTAACTATGGTCTGAAAGACCCCAGTCTAGTAAATCAAGAACTATTAATCATGCAGTTTGGTAAATCATGACAACATTAAAAAAATAGAGTGGAATAAAAATGCCACAGTGCACCATATGTAGTAAGGGAAAGTATTTTGTGATGCTTTTTAATTTTAAATATTAAGGTATAAAAGATAGGAAAAACCAACACCACTCAACACAGGACTACTGACACCAGATTCTCCAGCAGACATCAGTTGGATGTCCTTTCAATTCGGACACTATCTACCCGGTGGTAGCCTCAGATCCCACAGGTTAACGGCTCAGCCCACAAGACTGCCTCCCAATTCTGATGGTAATCACAAGCATCAGGTTGTGACTTGGGCTTCTGACTAATGGGCTATAAATTGGAGTTCCTACAACATTCTTCTTAGGTTTGATTAACTTGCTAGCACAGCTCACAGAATTCAGGGAAACACTTTCACTTATGGTCATTCATTATTATAAAGGATATTACAAAGGATACAGATGAACAGCCTGAGGTAAGAGATGCATAGGGTGACACAGAATTCAGGGAAACACTTTCACTTATGGTCATTTATTATAAAGGATATTACAAAGGATACAGATGAACAGCCTGAGGTAAGAGATGCATAGGGTGAGACAGGCAGGAAGGGGCATGGAGCTTCCGTGGCCTCCCCAAGCATGCCACCATCCAGAAACCTCTGCATATTCAGCTATCCAGGAGCTACCCAATCATTTTGGATTTTTATGGAGGCATCATTACATGGGCTTGATTGATTACATCCCCCATAAGTGGGGAGTGGAGATGAAAGTTCTAACTCTTTAATTACTTCTTCAGTTTCCCTGGAAACCAGCCCCCATCCTGAGGCTACCCAGGAGCCCCCAGCCACCAGTCATTTCCTTTGCATACAAAAAGACACTTGTCACTTTGGAGATTCCAAGAGTTTTAGGAGCTATGTGCTAGAAAACAAGAGGAATGCCAAATGTATTTATCTTATTATAAATCACCATATTAAGTTAGGCTATGTGTGTATTTGTTTGCAACACAAAACATTTTTCTTAATATGAGTTACATTCAAAAAATGTTTGCAAGCCCCTGACCTGTATGATCTGGCCCATGACTACCTCTCTGATCTTTTCTAAAACCACACTATACCTTGTTCACTGTGCTACAACCTCACTAACATTCACTCTAGCCCTCAGGCAGGCAAGCTCACCCCTGCCTCAGGACCTTTGCATACATTATTCTCTCTACTTGGAATAATTTATCCTTAGACATTTTGTATGTATGCTTCTTTCTTACCATTCATATCTCAATTCAAGTATTACCTCCTGCTAGGCATCTTATCTCTAAAGTAACACCTTCCGTACTGTTCATCTCACCACAGCTATCTTATCACCCTGTTTCAGCTTCTTCTTAGCACTGTACCCATCTCATCTCATTCATTTACGTTTTTGTGTGTGCCTTTATTTTCTACGTATTTCTCTTAGAATGTAAACCTCCACGAGTTCAGGGACCACATTTCTCTGGTTTACTACTCTATCTTTAGTGCAAAGAATAATGTTTATCACACAACAGGTGCTCAGTAAGTATTTGTTGAATGAATAAAGAAAACTGAAGACATAATTCCCCTCTGTTAAGGTATAATGGGAAACCTTTGGTCTCTCCTGGGCTTCTCAGGGCCCCGTGTAGAAAAGTCAAGGCTGTAGAATTAGTATTCAAAACTCCTCCCTTTGGCTTTGTGTTCAGTCCAAGAGACCATTCATTTCAGCACATTAAACTGTTAATTATGGAGTCTGGCTTCTCCTTTCTTTATGTGGAAAGAATAAATAGTTATTACTAAATAGTCATTTAATAGGCAGTGGTTTCTTTCAGGGCAACCATTATTAAAATTGCACAAACATGTACATAAATAAAGCCATTTACTTAAAATTAGGACAGACTGACTTAATGGATTCCACTTTTCTTACTGTCCTGGGTACTACCTGCTTGGAATACACAGTCCTTTTTTGTCCTTCCTCTCACTTTATTTCCTAGCTCTTGCCAATATGTACACCGTTGATATATGACTATTTATTCATGGTAATTTATTTCCAAGACTTTTTTTTTTTCTGGGGTTACTGATTTAGTTAATAGTATTTAAAACACAAAGTAATTTTTTTTGGCTGGGGAGAGATAGCCAAATTGATAATTTTATATTATGTATGTCGTATGAGTATGGCTTTCCCTGAATTTTCACTGCAGATAGACAGACAGAACATTGGTAAGAAATAGGAACACCAGACTAGAAGTCAGTTATTTAACGTTCCAGTCCCACCTCTCACCTTAACCAGCTGAAATATTTGGATAAGTCATTTAAATTCCCTGAGCCTTGGGTTTCTCATTTGTACAATAAGAGGGCCAGTTTAGGCTTTAAAAATTCCTGTTATGTATTCAGACTTATTACATTCAAAGAACTATTATAAATTATCAGTTAATCTTTGCAAAAAACTTACAAAGTCGGTACTATTATTTCTCCTATTTTACATATGAGGAGAATGAGGCAGAGAGAATAAATAATACACATTTTAAGTGGTGGAGATGGTTTGAATCTAGGTAGTCTAAAGCCAGAATTCAAACTCTTATTCTTCTTACTGTAGGATCTCTGTTCCTATTTATCTCTGAGAGTTAAATTTATAGCTGGGCATGGTGGCTCATGTCTGTAATCCCAGCACTTTGGGAGGCCGAGGTGGGTGGATCCCTTGAGGTCAGGAGTTCGAGACCAGCCTAATATGGTGAAACCCCGTCTCTACTAAAAATACAAAGAAATTAGCTAGGCACAGTGGCATGCGCCTGTAGTCCCAGCTACAGTGAGCCGGGATCACACCGCTGCACTCCAGCCTGGGCGACAAAGCGAGACTCTATCTCAAAAATAGTAATAATAATTTAAAAAAGAGTTAAATTTATAGGTTGTGAATCCTTGGATCTCATGTTGTTATAGTAGGTAGATAGTCAGGCATGAGTAGGGGAGGTGAGGCTTCCCCTCATCCCACTAGGAATGTCAGGCAACCATCAGGTGATGGTCATGCAGTTGTCACGCTGCCTCTCTAAAATAATAATTGGTCGCAGCCAGCACCAGGAAAGGCAGGTTCCATATAGATAGAAAAAGCACCTGAAACTGGTTATCATCAGTCTCCTGATGAGATCTCAGGATTTGGGCAAATGGGCTCAAACATGTGCATTAAGAGGCAAAATGGCAGAGTTTCACTGGTATGTCCATCTGGGGGCGTTCCACCAGTAAAGGGAAGAATGAGTCAGGTGAGCATAAGTACAACTCTAGTAAACACACTGCCCATGCTCACCTCCCAAGTGCTAGCAGGCCATTGTGTATGTGCGCAGCTCACCCCAAGGGAAGAAGCAAGGGAAAAGGGATGTAAGACACCAGAAACATGCCAGCATAGAAAACCCTAAGTCCAAGGTCAAATAGGGCACTTGTCCTCTGAGATGCCCTCTTGGCCCTCTTCCAAGGGTACTTTGCTTTCTTTGAATTCATTTGCTTTATTTGAATTCTTTCTTCTGAAGAGGGAAGAATCGAGGTTGCTGAAAACCCGTAAGGATTCACAGCCGGTAACTTGGGTACCCGCCACAGCTAACATATTTTGTTGCCATGTGACTCCAATAACTTCAACCTATAGCAATGTTAGCTTGTCTGTATCTTATTTCACCAGCAGGCTGGAAACTACTTAAGTGTAAAGACGATGTTCATCTTTGAATAACCTGAGACAATTAGCTCCAGGCCTTGCATGCAGTAGGCATTCAATATTTACTTTTAAAATGATGAGGAGTTGGGATGGATTCATGCAACAATTTTGACATTAACCAGGTGAAATCTAAGGTCCTTTCTGAGAGTGTGTGATTCAGGCATTGACTGAATACTCTTCTTGAAGGAGTTGGCTGTGTCTGCACAGATTCACCTCTGATTTGCTCCTCAACTTAATGCAATCTGGTTTTCAGCCCCACTGATGCCACTGAATCTCTGCTTGCCAAAGTCAACAACACACTTCGAAAGGCATTTCTTGTCCTAACCTATTGCATCTCCTGAGAACATCTAATATTGTTAACTATCCCCTCTTCCTTAAAGCGCTCATTTCCCTTGAACTGGATAACACAGTGCTGCTGACTTCTCTCCATCCACCTCTCAGGGTGCTATGCTTTGTCTTCATTTTAGGATCTGCTTTCCTTACCTAGATCTACAATGTTGGGATCTCCCAAGGGTCTGTCACTGGTCCTTCTCTTCTCGCTTTCCACACTATACTCCTTGGGCTTTCCCACACATATGCTAAGGATTTTTGAATCTATAGCTCCAGCCCAGATCTTTCTGTTGAGCTTCAGACTTGGTATAGTGGTAAAAAGTGATAACTTACTTTAAAATACTTCCATATGAACAGTATATATATGTAGAGTATATTAGTCAGCATTTGAAATATCTAAATCTGGAATCCACACTCTAGGAATGGATAGGAATTTGCAGTACCTAATCAGGGATCCATATTCAGAGATGGCTTCAAAACTGCTTCATACTGTGTTAATAGTCTCTCCCAGAAGGCCAAATTAGACAGCAATTTTAGACATAATTTTTCGTTTGTGGATGAGTGATACATGAACTATATGTTTGGCTATAGGAAGGGGGTGTAAAGACCCAGGAAGCCCAGCAGCCTATGCCTTTGAAGCACCACTCAGCGCCTGGCTTCCTGATTCTGTGTCTCTCTCTTCACAAAGAACTCTGCTACCTGTGGTTGATTGGTCCCACCACACGCAAAGCTCAAGGCTCACTGTATCTTGAACATCTATTGGATAGCACCTTACACATCAAGTTCAACAGGTCCAAAATGGAACTGATCCTCTTTGCACAAAATTGATCCTCCTTCTATGTTCTTTTATACAGTAAATGGATCTACACTCACTCAATGGGCCAAGCCAGAAATCTGGACATTAGTCTTAACTTCTCCCATTCTCATCATATCCACAGTCAGTCAATTACCAAATTCCATCAACATCATCACCTAAGTCATTCTCAAATTCACCCATTTCTCTCCCACTCCACAGGCACCTCCCAAACCTAGGGCACCAGTTCCTCTCTCCTGTCCCCAGCTGGACCCCTTCTACTCTATTCTTTATACATCAGCCAGAGTGACTCAGGAAATGGAAATCTGTAGTTTAATTAATATATTGTAGTTACTTATAGGAAAAAAAAGGCTGATAGAGAAAATATCTAACAACTATTAAATAGTATAGGTAGCAACAAGTCAAAAGAAATGCCAAACCACTTACAGTGAAAAATAGTTAGAAAACAACACGTTAAACAAGCCAGGTTATTGCTGCAATTATCCTAACTTTGTTATGTTGTAGATTGGGCATATCACTGTTAACCTTTGTTTCCTCTATGCCAAGTAATGCTTGACAGACAGCAGGCTCTTACTGAAAAAAATGAAAGAACATGAATGGGAAAACATTCAATCAATCAACCTTTTTTTTCTCCCCCCAACTTCCACTCCCAGTTTTCCTCTTAAGGAAGGAGTATGCCTCAAACCAAGAAACTGAGAAGTTTCCCTAAATCCTATTGATTGGTACCCTGGACTTGGAAGCAACTGACTTCTTGATTTTCTACCAGGGTTTAGTTAACTCCACATAGTATACTCTATGAGACGTATCATTGCTATAAGGTTAATGATAGTTATAGGGCCCAGTCAAACATCTCACAGGGCCTATATTCTGTGTCACTTAGCAGTATGATGCATCTTGGCCCAGGGATTTGCAACCTTGGCCTGGGAATTTCCAGGAGACAAGACTACCTCAGCACAGATGCAGTTCTCATAAACCTTAAAACAAAGCTTAGCGTTACAAGAATAGCTTAAACTCCCTTTGTGAAAGAAACACCTTGTAACTGACCCAGAAGGAATACAGGTATAAGGAAAGGGGAAGAATCCCCAAAACTCTAAGAATGGTCTCTGGATGGAAACTCTCCTGGTCAATGGGTCACCTGCCCCTCAGGCTGTGCCAGGCCCATGCCACCACCTGCTCCCGCTACCTGTCTTTTAAGGGTTCTGCCAGAATAAACTGCGTGAGCATCAGATGCTGCCTAAGACTCAGCTTTGATGGGAATCAAACCAATGGAAAGAAGTTTCCCCTAGAAAAGCTGGTTACCTAGAGTCACCCAAGACCCCCAAGACTGACAGTCCAGCTCAACAAATGTTCATTGACAATCTTTAGCAATTATAATGATGAATGAGTCATACCCTCTTTCTCTTGTAAAGGTCACTGTATTTTGGTGGAAATAAACATGCGTTTGAGTCATTTAAGTAAATAAATGTTGAAGCTGTGTTATCCAACAGGCAGAGTAAACTCATATTTAGGATATCAGCATAGCAGGACACTGAGGACATCAAGAAAAATTTAGAAGAGTTCGACAGAATTGATATAAAAAACCAAAGCAATCACCAATGGACAAGTTCAGAGCTTTACGATCTCCTTACCCTTATGTTATAATTTAATATGATTTTTATTATGTGGGGTTACACAATAGTTTGGTCTCCCCAATAAAAGGGACCTCTTAAATCTTAATCTATTCCTAATAAGTGCTAAAATAGATACATAAATAGGGTGCTTGGGAGCACGCAGGAGGACAATTAAATAGGCTAAGGCAGGGGAGAGTAGGGAACAGGCGAGGAGAAGGCAGCGTCAAAAGGAGGGATGCCTGAGCTAAGTCTAAAGGGGCAAATTAACCAGGTGAAGGTTTGGGAAGCTAGGAGAGGTATACTGTTCCTCTGGTGGGACCCACTCACCCCTCTGAGCTAGACCTCCCAATACTTCCTGCTAGCCTAGACCATCATCTGTTAGCTCCCTATTATCTATTACATCTGCCCCATTGAACCTTGACTCTGTGAAATTCTGAGTCTGTACCTCCCAAGAGGTCTACCTAGCTGCAAGCTCCATGCTTGGTCGTATCTCAACACTCAAGAATCACAACATATTTATTCCATTCCAATAAGGCTAATTTGCTCATGGTTTCTATTTTTGTTTTTCCTTCAGTGATCACCTACACTTCTGTTAGTCATTAAACAAATGGCAGCTGGCATCATCGCCAACTTTCAAAACCTTATTCAAAAGTGATCTTCTATAGGAAATCTTTCGAGTGGTTAGATACCCACATGGAAAGGGCTTCCTTCTCATGAAAAGCAACCAATGCACTTTGTTTAGCATTGTGTATTCATAAATATTTATCCATTAAAAACAGGCATCTGTATGGCAAGTCCCACAAGGATGATTTAACCAAGACTGCAAACTCCTCAGCTGACCACATCCCATCTCTCTTTGCTTCACATCATCCTGCTAGCCCCTCAAATGCTTGGCCGGCCAACAACCATACTGTACAGTCAAAAAGATTCATCAAGTCCTCACTTAGTTTTTATTCAACCTTATTCCATCACAATTTCTCACCAACATCAGATTACCGGTGAAAATTTGATCAGAGAGACTGAGGTAAGAGAGACTCAAATTATTTAAATCTCTCAATGGAAGTTAATAGTTTTGAAGAATTAGAGCATTTCATATGGGAGCAATGTCAAAATAGGTGACCTAGAACTGAAGTAGTTTTCCCCAGACTCTGCAGTTACTGAATTGACTCCCCAGGCTGCTCATATTTTCCGGCTATTTCTGAAAAGAAAAATATACAAATGCAATACCCCTTTTTTTCCCCAAAGGTCTTTGCTTCCCTATAAATACTAAAGTGTGCTCCTTAACCCACTTATCCTGTGAGATGCCTAAAAATGGCCTCTTGGATGAAATAACTTCAGGAAACACCGTAGAGTATAGCCCTGGTTTGAAAATTCACTATGAACACTAACGTGTTAAAGACCCTATTACTTCTGTAAATAGCCTAGTTTTACTTCGTTAACTCTTCCTTTCACAAGTGTATTTGGGCACAGATCAAGTTTCCCCTTCCCGCAATATTATCAACACCACTCCATACAAAGGAGAGTTGGAAACAGCCATGTTACTCCTCCACTGAATTCACACACACACGGATATAAGTCTTGTGTAGTCTGAGGTGTTCATTTCAACCCTGGATAGTAATTCAAAGTAGCAAACAGCTTTTTGATGTTTGCTTTGTTTGGTTGCAGAAAATAAGCTCAGGGTAGACAGTTCTTCAATGACAGTTCTTTACTTGCATAAAGCTAGTATGGATTATCCCAACTTTTATAATGACAGTAGTTACCACTGGGATGCAAAAGAAGCAAAAAGAAAAATAGGAGTTCTAAGGGGCAGGAGTATTAGCATTGCACTATAATGCTGCAGTCTAAGCAGGCATTCCATTACTGGGTCGATGGTGAATACGAAGTGGAGGTTCAATCACTACACACACTTACTCAATAGTCTCCTCTAAAAAAGGCAGTAAATGTCTTGTTTTTGGCTCAGATGAAGGCCTATCAACCGTCAGAAGTGCAGGCTTCCACACAGAGATTCAGAGCAGCACTACAGCCGCTCAGCATGTGAATCCCAAGAGGCAGGTGATTTAGTCAATAGGCCCCAGAGCAGCTATTTTAAACACAGGGCCTGTTCTCTTTAAAGGTACAGGATTTATTTATTTGTGGGCCATTTAAAATTTCCTGCTTTCACCGGCTTTTGATCTGGACTCAGGTATTATATCTTGTCCTATTTTCCAACATGTAACAATTCCTTACAATTATAATATTCACCCATCCATCCATTTGGCTAACATTATTGACAACCTATTATGTACCAAGCACTGCTCTGTTTTTTTTTTATTGCATGTAAAAATGATGGTGATATTATAATGAATGAAATAAGCATTTGTTTTTGCAATCCAAGTAAAATTTACCTGTATTGAAGAATGTAGAGGATCTTGTCAGGAAACTAACGACACTGCCACATGAAGGAAATCAAATAAAGCCGGGCGCGGTGGCTCACGCCTGTAATCCCAGCACTTTGGGAGGCCAAGGTGGGCGGATCACCTGAGGCTGGGAGTTCGAGACCAGTCTGACCAACATGGAGAAACCCCCTCTCTACTAAAAATACAAAATTAGCCGGGCATGGTGGCACATGCCTGTAATCCCAGCTACGAGGGAGGCTGAGGCAGGAGAATCGCTTGAACCTGGGAGGTGGAGGTTGTGGTGAGCCAAGATCATGCCATTGCACTCCAGCCTGGGCAACAAGAGTGAAACTCAGTTTCAAAAAAAAAAAAAAAAAAAAAATCAAATAAGAGAAAGGTGCTGTGCTTTTTGTAGGTCAGTGTTTTTCACAAGACACCGATATTGAAATCCCTGGAAGTACCTATTTAAAATGCAGATTCTGCTGGGTGTGGCAGCTCCCATCGGTAATCCCAGCACTTTGGGAGGCCGAGGTGGGAGGATTGCTTGAGCCCAGGAATTGGAGAACAGCCTGGGCAAGATAGAGAGACCCAGTCTCTACCAAAAAAAAAAAAAAAAAAATCAGCCAGGCATGCTCACACCTGCAGTCCCAGCTACACAGGAGGTTGAAGTGGGAGGATCTGCTTGAGCCAGGGAGGTCAAGGCTGTAGTGGTTGCACCACTGCATTCATACCTGGCAACAGAGCAAGACCCTGACTCAAAAACAACAACAACAAAAAATACCAAACATTTGGCCAGGTGAGGTGGCTCATGCCTGTAATCCCAGCACTTTGGGAGGCCAAGGCAGTAGGATGGCTTGAACCCAGAAGTTCCAGACCAGTCGGGCAACATAAGACCTCATTTAAAAAAAAAAGAGACAAAGAAAGAAAAAAAAGTCAGAATCCAGGAATCTGGATTTTTAGCAGTACTCTGGATGTTCTTTGTGCATCCGTAGTGCCATATCCATCCCTGTCATGAAGGAGGAGAAAAGAGGCACACATTCTCTCCAATAGAAACACCTCCACATTCATGTCTTTTATTTATTGGGTTTCCTGTATGACGTCTTCAAAAAAAAAGGATGCAAGAAAAATATCACTTCTTTTAAGTGTAGCACATTAGAAAGTCACACCTATGAGACTCTTTAGCTGCCTCATCATTGTATTTTAAATGTGGCCTCACAGAGAAACCATGGATTTTAGAATCGGGAAGATACACCTCCACCACTTATTAGTTATGTAAATTTAACAAGCTAATTTGTCTGTGTGAGTCTTGATTTTCTCAGCTATAAAATGGGGACAATAGCAAAAAATAATGATAAGATAATCAGATTAAAAGATATATCATAGAGATATATATATATTATCTTTTAATATATATTAAAAGATATATTAAAAGATATATCTGTAATAGAGATATTACAGATATATTATAGATATAGATATAATAGATATATGACAGATATATTATAGACAAACACCTGGCAAATGAGTGGGCTTACACTGGGTACTCCCCAAAATTTACCCCCACCCCTTCCAAATTCTGCCAAATTTTATAGAGTAGCTATATAAAAATTATTTTTATGTGTTTTCTTAAATGCTCTTCTTAAGACATTGGCCCTTATGTTGTAGGAAACACCTCGATGCCAGGTTGAAGTTCAATACTTACGTTAACACATTATCTTTCTATTTTATATCAATGGGAGTTATTTAAACCACCATATTTCTTTTCAGCTTAAATTATCAGAAAATTTAGATGTGAAATTAATGCTCAAAATAAAAAAGTGTTTCTCCTCTCTATATTACTTATGGTTATTCTTAAAAACAAATCACCCATTTACTTATTCAACAAATCATTTTGGCCATCCAATAAATTTATTGAGAGGGTATATCCTCAAGAGGAAGAGCTAAGTCTTATGCCTGCATGTAATACACTTTATTTATTAACTGAGTGATGATGGACAAGCTATTTCTTAGCCTCAAACTCCTCAAATGTTAAATTAGGCTAATAATAGTATCTCGCAAGATTGTTGCGGGGATTACATAAATCATGTACTTAGAACAATACCTGGCATTTGGCATGCACTATAGCAATGTTATTTAGTATTATTTACCAAAGAATAGTTACTGAAGATACACAGTAAAAAAGCATCTTAAAAAGGTAAAAAGAGTATATAAACTTACCTAAGTGGAAGTTAAGTGTAGCATAAAGTATATCTTATAAATGAATAATGGAGTAAATGAAATTCTTATTCATCTCATCTAATGCAAGAAAACTCAACTACCAACATTATGGAATTTTGATTTGATATCACTCCTAACTCTATTTTCACTCTCCCTGAAGGTGTTCCTCATTTTCCCTCCTTGAGTCTGTCTATATGCAAGAATGGATGAGCAATCAGAAATGTGTGCTCACTGATATGTGGATATAGACCTCTGAAGCATCTACCCCATTCTAAGATGGTCCCTGCTCAAAGGGATCATGCTGAAGAAAGGTGACCCTTCCAGCTCAGGTTTGCTCTGATCTCCGTAGCATAAGCAACACAAATAAAGAAACTATAGTCATAGGACTTTCGTTAAATGCTTAGTTGAAGATCTCAATTTCTGTTTGCTTCTCCTTAGCCATATTCCAAGTTCATTACCATTAAAAATAAAACAACATGTAATCTTAATATATACAATTAGCAACACTGTGTGCTCAACGTGTCTTTCTTAAGTTCTTGCAGACTTCTTTCTTTTCTCCTAAGAAACCCCATCTCTTTAGATGAGCCCAACTATTCACACTCTTTCCTCTCGCTCCTCAAATTATAATCACCGTCACATCAAAGACCCACTAAAAGGCACTCACTGAAGCTTTTAAATTAAGGTACTTGAATGACTTAGAAATAGGAATCACAAAACAAATCTATTTACATGCATTTGTGCAGAACATTCCTAAATGTTCAGGTGACACTGACCTACTAGGCCCTTTAGCTCGCTATGTGAGGAAATAAGATAGAATCTTCAAAGAAGTTTGGTTGTCAAGAAGCCTCTGGGACCAGTGAAACAAATAATTAACTTATAGTGGAAAGAGAGGACAAGAAATGTTTCCCTCTGGGCCTGAAATACAGTGTGCTCTACTTTGCATAAGTTAACATCGGGAGGTTTGAATTTTCCAAAGGGCTTAGTGGCTAATTAGCTGTGTGAAGTTGCCCATAGTGTGTCCTTAAGACTAAACATTCCCATTTCTCATAAAAAGCTGTAATAGTTACATGAAGCAAAAGAAATTATCTCTACTATGTGTTTGGGGTTTGTCTTTCTTGTGGCCTCCTTTTTACTTCTATTACAACACTTACGACACAGTACTATGAAGATCAACTCTCTCTTCCCCACTACAATGGAAGCTTTCGAAGTATAAGGATTGTGTCTGACTTAACTCTGTATTCCATGCTCCTAGCTTGACATTTAGTAGGCTCTGTATTCCATGCTCCTAGCCTGACATTTAGTAGGCTCTGTATTCCATGATCCTAGCTTGACATGTAGTAGGCATTCAATCAATAATCAGTGTTTTTCAGATAAGTGGGCTAGTATGAAGACCACCGAGAGCTATCCTTCCAGGGCTTTAAACACCTCTATACTCAGCTAGTAGAACATTCAAGTAAAATACAGAAACCTACTGAATAATGAGATTTTTTTTTTTTTGAGATGGAGTCTCAATCTGTTGCCCAGGCTGGAATGCACTGGCACGATCTCGGCTCACTGCAACCTCTGCCTCCCGTGTTCCAGTGATTCTCCTGCCTCAGCCTCCTGACTAGCTGGGACTACAGGTGTGTGCCACCCCAGCTAATTTTTTATTTTTAATAGAGATGGGGTTTCACCATGTTGGCCAGGCTGGTCTCGAACTCCTGACCTCAGGTGATCCACCTGCCTCGGCCTCCCAAAGTGCTGGGATTACAGGCATGAGCCACTGCACCCGGCCTACAATGAGATATTTTCTAAGAATAATACCTGCAAGTAGATTAATTATTATAGGCATAATTTTAATCAGAACAATAAAAATTTATGTTTTCTAACTAGTTTCGGGCCTAATAGTTTAGATGCATAAGGAATTGCTCCCATCTGAATGTAGACAGAGAGTATGTGATGGGCTGAGTCCAAGAAAATGAAACCATAAAACCAAAGTCCTACATTTAAAATTTTAAAAAGCAGCAAGACAGAATGGAAGACAGCGACTGAAACACATGAGTTTTCCTGCTGACCACAAGCACCCTAGCAGTCAGAAGTGGGATGAAAGCTAATAACACAATACTCAGCTGCATTAATTCAGTGGGTCAGTATTTTTATCAGAGAGAGTAAACTTTACTTTGCTTTTGGGTTCTATCCATAAATTGTGTGTGTGTGTGTATATATATATATATATATAAAATATTGTGTATATATAATATTACGTGTATAATCATGTTTTAAAGACCTATATTTAGTTGCACTAAATAATCAAAGCTAAGGAAATCTGGATCTTGTGAATTTCCTCTAGCTTCTTCTCCTTATTCTGCTCTATGATAGCTCACAACCATAGCTAAAACATCCTGAGCATCTTCTATCAGCAGTCAGGTACTACAGTAATACATTACCTATATTCACTCATTTAAGATTTACAACAACTATTATTACTCTCTTTACTGCAGATGAGGAAACAGAAGCACCATAAAACTGGGGAACCAGTCCAAGGTCAAAAAGTTTATGAGTGGAGGAGCTGAGCTTGATCAAGGGAGTGTGGCATCTGAGTCTGAATCCTGATCCCTGTCTCACATCATCTTTTCTCGAGACAGACTTGGAAATGGAAGACAGAGGGAAGCAGTGTAGTTTATTTTAGTCTTGGTGAGTGGGAGAAAGATGTTTAAAATATGGATGCAGCTTAGACGTTGATATAGTTTGGATGTTGTCCCTGCCCAAATCTCATGATGAAATGTGCTCTCCAGTGTTGGAGGCGGGGCCTGTTGGGAGGTGACCGGATCATGAGGGTGGATTTCTCGTGAGTGGCTTAGTATCATCCCCTTGGTACTGTTGTTGCAATAGGAAGGGAGTTCTCATGAGATTTGGTTGTTTGTTTAAAAGTGTGTAGCACCTCCCCCTCCTCTTGCTCCTGCTTTTCACCTGTGTGTGTCTGTTCCCCTTTTGCCTTCTGCCATGACTGGAAGCTCCCTGAAGACTCCCCAGAAGCAGATGCCTCCATGCTTCCTCTACAGCCTGCAGAACCGTGAGCCAATTAAATCTCTTTTCTTTACAAATTACTCAGTCTCAGGTATTTCTTTACAGCAAGAATGTCCTATAGAGATGTGGATACTTTTTTCCCCCAATCTTGGCCACTATCATGTCCTTTAAGTTATCAGAGATATATAGGTGTGTTTTCAAACCAGTAGTGTATTTTTGTATAAATAAGAAATTAGCAATTGATTCTCACTTATTCCATTTCTCCAGAGATACAATGCTGACACATCCCGAATTTAAAAGCATTTTACCACCTAGTGGTGGGTACCTTGAGAAACTGCCAGATACTCCAATAGCTCAGAGCAATAAAGAAGAACGGGGGAAAATTTGCTAACATAAATTTTAAGTGGAACCATTTACATCTTGGTAAATCTTCCCTATATGTCAATAAAAGAAAAATAAAAGCATTATATTAATAATAATCATAATGAGAAGAAATTATACAGTGATATCAATTTCCTTGGGGAGGGTGGATAGTAGTATAACACGCTTCTCATTTATTTAATTTTTCATATGTGGCTTTTTGTACTACTGAAATGGTAAACCATCCATGAGGGTGTGGCTGAAAGGGATGTTTAGTTTATGTACAAAAATGCAGGAGAAGCACACCCCTAGTCCTTCACTGACATATTTCCGAAACATCAGAAAATATTCTAATCAAAACCGCTGTTGATTGGAACAGGATAATAGAAAATTCAATTGAAACAAAAGTAAATGAAAGAAGAAAAACAATCGGAGTCTCTATTAAAGAAGAATTTATATGTCATGAATTCCTTCTATTTTACTGGGTACCTTATTTGATCATTTAATACTTGCAACAATGTTGTGAGAAAGGTATTGGTATCCTCATTTTACTGATGAGAAAATTGGGTTTCAGATACTGTAGGTGCTCAATGTCACACACAAGTTAGGCAGGTTTCAAAGAGGTTCAGATGACAAAGCCTCTGCCTAGGATGACACCTCATCTAAGAAGGACAGCAGTCACCTGCTCACAGGGAGGTGATCCACACTTGTGCTCTGATGCCAAGTGTCAGGTGGACAGAGGTGAAGAGACATAACATCTGGAAACATGAGTAGAAGAAAGCTCACCAGGAGCAGCAGAGCTGGTTATTTTCGTGAAAGATAAATTGATGGGTTGCTTGCTGATAGCTTGCAGTGCTATTCCAGATAGGCTGGTAACCCAAATAACTTGTGGAATTCTCCACAGCTGAGGAGAAATGGAAAAAAAAAAAAAAAAGCACTAGCCAAGAAGTCATTCGATTATGCTAAACAAAATCAATTCATTTATGACTTTTCACTTTCGTAAGGTGGGGAATGAGTGGTTTCTTAACGTTCATCCAGCAATTGTTTTCTAGCCTCATTGCACGACTGCTTTTTAAGTTCACCTTGACCTAAAGGCAACCTTACAAAATGCTTTGCAAAGTTGTGGAAATGTTGCATTCCACATGGTTGTGAATAGAAAGAGCTTCTTGAGGCCTTGATTAGAGCTGGGTGGAGCTAAGCCTGAAACAGATGATGGCTACACTACACTGCAGGCCCAGCTGCCCTGCCCATGGGCACAACAGCAAACCCAGAGACAGTGCAGGGAGGCTGGGAATGGGTCAAGTTTAAATTAGGCACAGGATTTGGCAAGCCACTACATAAAAATACAACAGCCCAACAGAAGGCCACGTTTGGGTAGCCAGCCGTCGTCAAGTGCAATGTGGGAGGCGCCCTGTCTGGAAGAGAAAATGGGAAAGAATCCACCATAAGAACATGACTCAAAGAGGTCAGTGATGGGCATAAAAATATGTCCATTGCTTCTCAGAAATCTTGCCAAGAGGACTGGATTTCTAATACCAGCAAGCACCAAGAAACAGAATAAGAAGAACTAGATTGTCCTCCTTTTTCTGATGTTTACTAAACCTCTATTTTCTAACTATATTGGTGGCAGGTAGCATTTTCTATAAAAACCTAGCTTTCTCTGGTACTTTTACTTTTTTTCTGCCTCTATAGAAATTTCACCTTAGTTTATAGCTGGAGGAACATACTCTTCATTTAATTTTCCTATCTGCCTTGCTGGGCAGGTGGTTTTGGACTGAACTGATTACATTTTAGGTAACAGGATATTTCTCAGAGACAGCATGTCTTGCTGGGTATTTTGGGATTCATGGAAAATAAAAAGAAAAAATGAAAAGAAATCCATTCACCTTTCATGGCAGTGATTTAGTAGACATTCTGTGGTCTCTATTAGGAACTGACCCGAATAGAAAGCTAGATTAGCCTAAAAAAATAAAAAAATGTAGAATCTGGTTTACAAAACTCCTTAGTTTCTGTTTTTATGCCTTAGAGAACATGTATGAGTTCAAATATAATTACAAATAAGTAAAAATATGTCAGGCCTATGTTTAAGTGTTTTTTTTTTTTTTGTATTTACTAGCAGTGATGTTTTTGTCAAAACATTTTTATTCTCTGATCTTTAGTCACTTTACTGTAAAATGAAGATGAAGTCAGCTCTGCTTATCTCACAAGTCTTTTGAAAGACTCCAATAAAACACTGTGTAGAATCTTCGTTAAGCCTTAGGTGTTCAGTTAATTTTAAGGTATAATTTTACTATCTCTACAAAAAAATTTAAAAAAAATTAGCTGGGCATGGTGGTATGTGCCTGTAGACCCAGCTACTTGGGAGGCTGAGATGGGAGGATCCCTTGGGCCCAGGAGTTCAAGGCTGTAGTGAGCTATGATCACACTATTGCACTCCAGCCTGACAGATGACAGAGTGAGACCCTGTCAAAAAAAAAAAAAAAAAAAAACAAGAAAGAAAGAAGAGGAAAGAATATACTATGTGATAGTTGTTAATTAGAATTTTATTTTGTCTTATTGAAAAATTTCTTCTCACTTTGAAATTTACTAGAGTAAGTTGGAATTATTAGTTTTTCAGAAACAGAGAGAGCTGGAAAGCCATCTTTATGACATCCCTCATTACAGACCAACCACCAAGTGATCTAACTGGTACATATACCTTGAAAGACATCTGATAAACACAGAGCACACCTGATGAGTTAAGCCAGGTGGAGGTAAAAGCTACATTTTTCATTAAAATACCACAGTGCTGGAAATTTCTAAAAGACCTTGAGTGGTGATAGTTGTAGGGGATGCCCTGGCCAAAGTGGCCTGTGGCGTTGCATGCTCCCACAAAAGCCATGTAGGCAAGACTCAATGGCGTTGGAACCGTGTCTGGGCAGAATGCTCTGTTTTCCTTTCTGGAACATGGCATGATGAGCAAGCTATCCACGGCTGTCGCAGGCCATTTCACATCCACCTCCCTATCTTGCAGGAGGCTCTGTGTCCTGCCGAAGGTTGTCATGAGGCTCTTTCCCATCAACCTACCTGGTACCAGTGAGGCATGGAATTTTCCCCCTCGCCCTTCTTGGATACAGCTGCGGACCGTAAAACCATTCAGCTCTAGTATGAAATTGACTTCTCAACTACAGAGTGGCTCACTCCCTGTGATGCGTGTTTTCCGGTCCCTCCAGGTTGATGGTGTCCTGTGGGGACAGGGATGAGACCCTGAAGAAGTATATGCTGGGTTACTGAAGCTGAATCAATGCTTTTCTCCAGGTGTGTGTATTTATGCACCTGTCTTTTCTCGAGGGGACTCCCTAAGCTCCCAGCCAGGTAATATGCACACGATAGCACCAGAGGCAGGATGGAGAAAGGAGGTCAAGCTCTCCAAGTTCAGTAATATAGGCATGTATTTACATGCCTTTTCTATCCCAGGTCTTGCCACTGTCTGGTGTTCTCAAGTCAGGAGCTTCTCAGTATTTTCAAATAATAAACCTCTGTGGCCTCCCTGGGAGGCTGCATGGAGTAGGGGAAGACCCTGGAGATCTAGCTTCCTCTAGATCCATTCTTACAATAAATCCATCTCTTTCCAGCCCTGTTCCTCAATCTCATTTCTCATGGTGCTGAGTTCCATGGGGCAAACTGGTTCATTAATCACAGGTATCTCCATGTTGAGAGCTGGGTTGTAGCTCTATCCTTTCTGCTAAGGCAATTACTGCTCTTCCATCACTTCCCTTCCTTTATTCCAAAAAAAACCCCACATCTTTCATTCATTATTTCCTTCTGTCCTGTTCTCCTTGTCCTTGTGGATTACCACCTTTCGAACATTTCTTTATTGCAGCTTCTATTGGTTTGGGGAAGAACGGGAGACTAACTCTACTGGCCAGTTTTCCATCTGTAATGATAAATTCCCAGCACAGGTGGGTGGAATATGCATCCTTCTTGTATTCTTAGTGCATTTCACAGAACCTGACTACAGAAGGTGCTCAAAAAAAAATCAGTATTGAAGAGGTGGCTACATACAACAAATGTACACTTTGGCTACAAAGTTAGATAAACTAGCTTGTTCAGCAAACATTTTCAGAGTATAGTATTCTATACTAGGACCCTTGACACTGGATGCCAGGGCAGATAAAACACAATTCTTATTCTTTATTGTCAGTAATGTGGTGAAAGTCCCTTGGAATCGGGTGAATCTGCAAAATTTCAGTGGGAACAAGAGCATGCACCACCCAGGCTTATGTCCTAGTCTTTCCAGGGTCTGGGAGTAAGAAAAAGATACAGAAACCTGATTACAGTCATACAGTTAATAAGTTAACAGACAACACCCTGTGGAATTAATTCACCTTTCAATATTCATTATAAATGCCGTCTTCCTTCTTTGAATCTCTGCAATTGTGGCAAGCCAAGTTTATGCCGTACCTTAGCGATAAAAGTAGAGATGATTAACTGTCTTTCTGTCTTTGTCTCTTCGTTCCTTTTTTTTTTTTTTTGATAGAGTCTTGCTTTGTTGCCCAGGCTGGAGTGCAGTGGCACGATCTCAGCTCACCGTAACCTCCGCCTCCCAGGTTCAAGTGATTCTCGTGCCTCAGACTCTCGAGTAGCTGAGATTACAGGCATGTGCCACCAGGCCTGGCTAATTTTTGTATTTTTAGTAGAGATGGGGTTTTGCCATGTTGGCCAGGCTGGCAAACTCCTGACCTGAAGTGACCCACCCATCTCAGCCCCTCAAAGTGCTGGGATTACAGGCTTGAGCCATCATGCCCTCCTGTCTCTTAGTTTGTTTTAATTTTAAGAGGAACAATGGTGCTTTGTTTTGGTTTATGCCACCCAAAGAAATAGAAGTATGCAACTTTAAAAGAAAATTTTCAGCCAAGGGTAAAAACATAAAAATAAAAATAACCAAATTGGTGTCAGATGCAAAGAATCCCTTGAAAATTGGTGAGGATTGAGGAATAGAGAAGGATACTGAAGAGGGATCTATTATTCAAAACTCAATTACCAGAAACCCAAGTTAAACTAAAGGAAGTGGGAATTTAATGTCTCAGTAGCTGCAAAGCTTCAGGTACAGCTGGAGCCAGGTATTCAAACGCAATTGTTAGGTTCTTCCCTCTTCTGTACTGGCTTCACGTTCAGACAGATTTCATTCTCGTGTTTACACCTAACAGCTTAGCAATCAGTGCAGAAATATTCTCTTTCCCCAACAGTTCTAGCGAAAGTACTGGCCACAAGTCTCTGACTTGCCAAACCTGAGTCACATTCCTCCTCCTCACCCTCACTCCAGAGGACTGGGTTGCCCTGCTCAAACCATATGAACCGAGAGTCAGGTCAGGTTGTTACACAAAGGAAATCCAAGGAAATGTTGCCAGGAAAAGGGGAGAAGGCTTTTAAGCCAGTATATGCGGTAGCTACAATTAGTGTAAGATAATACTGGCCCTGGAGTTTTGGCTGCATCACCACTTAAAAAAAAATTTAAGTTTTGAATTAAGCCAAATTGCTTAGCACAGAAGGCTGGTTTGGAGTGTAGCTATTTTTGAATTATTTACTGAGCTTCCCACTGCATTTGCCCCCCACAACTCTTAGCATCCATCTCTTGCTAAAAGGCCACCTGACCAGAATGTTAAGAGAAATATCCAATAGCCTCTACAGAAAGAGTAGAATATTTATTTTTAGCTTTATGATATTTGTTCTTAAATGCTTTTCAGCCTGGAATGACTTCAATGAGATTTGTACATTTAAAGGCTGCCAAAAAAAGAAGGGGGAAAAGTCGAATATTAAAGAAAATCTCACTCACATCCAAAAGTGGAAGATTCTTTAAACTTTTAAAGAAAATGTTAGTTCTATTTTTAACTCACTTTTGGGTTGTCTAAGGCTTAAGACTAACATAAGAAGAAATAGGTCGAGCAACAAAAACTTGAAAACCAAAAGATTTTATACTTGGGAATTAACCTTTTATTAACCCTAACCCTAACCCCCTTTTGACGAGGAGAAAAAGAGAGAGAAAGGAGACCCTTCTATGTGCAATTCAGGGTTCAGTCATCTCAGAATTTTCCATATACAGGCCCTAGATCAGGGGTGTCCAGTATTTTGGCTTCCCTGAGCCACATTGGAAGAAGAAGAATTGTCTTGGGCCATACATAAATCACACTAACACTAACGATACCTGATAAGAAAAAAAAATGCAAAAACGTCTCATCATGTTTTAAGAAAGTTTACAAATGTGTGTTGGGCCACATTCAAAGTCATTCTGGGCCACATGCAGCCTGTGGGCCATGGGTTGGACAAGCTTGCCCTAGATGATTTTTCTAAAAGGAAATTTGTTCTGAAAGACAGTAGTCAGTATACCTTTACACAATTTCATGAAGATGTCTGGGTTATGAGAATTGTCCTACTAGGAAGAGCTACCAAAATAGCTCATCACCTTGAGGTACTGTGGAGTGAAAGTGACCAGGTGCTTTACATCAAGTTTACACCAAGCTTTACTTTCCAAACTTTTTAAACTGTCAGTACAACTCCTTTTGAACATATCTTCTAGGTTGGCTCTTGGAGTGATACATCCATCACCCCATTCTACTCCAAATTCATTTGAAATTGGCAATTTTCAGGTTCCAACTTGCGATGGCTTAACACTCCAGGCCTCCCTAAGATGGCACTGAACATAGGGCAGCCCTCCTGGAGGACCCCACAGAGAGGCCATGGAGCATGAGAGTGAGCTGTACCTGGCATGATGTATGCAACGTGGCTTATTCTCTTTGATTCAGGTTTTACGTTTCTCGAATGGAGCCTCTTCTAGGTTGCTATCCATTTACCTCCCCATCTCTCTCTCTCTTTGCCTTTTCCTGGTTGAGTCCTTCCCGGGTTAACCCAGCCCTCCTGATGGCTTCCCTTCACTTTGAAATCCACAGACAGGAACAACTCTACATTTAATGATAAACTGTCTTACATTCCTCCCTAATTAGTTCAAATTGAAAGTTTGCTCTCACATTTGGAATTTTAGTATGGCTATGATAAATACTTGTGGGCTCCTCACTCGGAGCAATCTCTGAACAGACGATCTGAAGCTAGATATACAACATTCTCATATAGTGTTCAGTGTGAATCAATATCAAAGTTTAAATTCCCAGTGATATTAATGAAAGAGGTGAGAATTTGTTGCTCATATCAATAAGAATTAGACCTAAAATCACACTAGTGATCTTTGGACTTAATTTAGTGTTCATTCATTTAGATACAAACTGAGTGTATAGTTTCTGTTTAAAGGAAGAGTATTTTGTCCGTGATCACCGGTGCACCCAATGGCCAATTGATTTCTGTTTACATTCTGATAATTCTTTGCTTATCAGATCATTTCACATGAGAATCAAGCCCTCTGCAATAAGCAGTGGGAAAAATTTTAGTCGGTGAGAAACTCCAACGCCTCAAAAGAAAGAGTGTAACTTTCAAAACTGTCATTTTTGTTCTCATGGTAAAAATCTGACTTTGTGTCAATCATTCCCCAAATCTTCAGTTGAGGAAAGAGGTCATGCTCTACATTAATTACAGATGACAAGCTAGAGACAAAACTAAAAGTCCAACCTTATAACTTCGCTTTTCTGCCTCTCCCTGGTCAAAACAAACCCTCTTATACCAACTATTCTTTTTTATCACTTGAGTGCTATGTACAGGGTAAAAGTAGGATTACCTCAGAATAATAATTTCACACATAATTTTTGTAAGAAAAGGGTTCATGATAATACTTTTAAAAATAAACAGCTAGCCCAAATATTCCTCCATAACAAAATGTGACAAAAGGAAGTTAGAACAAAATCTTAATTTACACAGAAAGTAAAACTGTTTCCCTGTAAACAAGCTGGGCTGTCATGAAAATGGATAAGGGTTCACAGAAATTTGACCCAAAGAATAAAGAATGAACGGATGACACAAAAATGGCTAACTGGATAAAAATATGTTCTGTGTGATTAATAATAAGTCTCCAAATCACAGTACTTGGAGAGAAGGGATGGGCATACTACTGTGGAATTCTGGATGTGTCAAGATCTGGCCTGGGTTCTGGGAACACTGGATCTCTTTGTTCCTCTCTCTGCTGTTCAGGGACAGTGGAAGGGGAGGAAAAAGGGATCGTGGTCCAGTGTACGTGGCTCAGGGACTGGGCCTCTGGAAGCCACAGGGACCAGCGATAGTCACACTTCTTCAGCCCTCCAGCGATTGCTCTCTGTTTCTGTTCTGTTTTCACACTGTTATCCTTCAGCACAGCTCTGTGCGCTGTTTGCCTCTCCTCCACTGGTGGCTGCTCTCTGCTAAATAAGCATGCCACTTGTTCACTGGGTAAAGTGAAAAAGACGTTGCTTGTAAAATAATTGAGTCTCCAAAAAAAGAAAAAGAAAGCGTCTGGATCACTATCCGTGTCACCCCTACCCTGAGAAGTCTCTTACCGGGGTGACTTTTCTTCAAAGAAAGCATTTTCCAAACTAAGTGCAGAATGAAGCAAAAAACAGGAAAGAACTCAGATTATTTTATGACGTCACATGATGCTGAATTACAGGGTGGAAAGAAACAGAAACACAGACCACTGACTTATTGGAGAGAGAGAGATATATATACCATGTATACGTAATATTATATGTCATATAAAATATATTTAATTACATATAATATATATTTATAGATCTCCATGGCCTGTGCTTCTATGGAATCAAATTGTTGTGTATGCATCTATGGGCATATACAGAAATATTATATATTAATATATAAATAATATATATGTTGTTTAGATGGAGAGAGATCAGAGGAGCACTGACCATGGAAATATAGATAATATACAATATATATAAAAACATATAACATATTTTTCCTGTGATATGTGCTTCTGGTCTCTGTGTGTGTGTGTGTGTGTGTGTGTGTGTGTGTGTGTGTGTGTGGCATAAACTGATACTACAAAAGCACAGATCACCAAAATAGTATATATAAAATATATATACAGCATATTATGTATTATATAATATGTGGTCTGTGGTCCTAGATATCTATACACACATAATGCACACACACACGTAAGTTATGTGTGTGTGTGTGTGTATATACACATACATATACATATCCTAATCTGGTAGCACTTTTGTTGTTGTTGTTTAGATTCAGGGGGTACATGTGCAGGTGATCTGTATTATTTATTCTTCCTTGTTCCATATATATTAGATTAACCAAGATTTAAATATCAGCTCTATTACTAACAGTAACACCTGGACCAAGTTATTTAACTTCTGTTTACTTATAAGACCATAAATATATAAATTAATACATTTAAGGAATACTTACTGAATGCTGGTAGAGTATGAGCACTTAATAAATGCTAGTAGTTGCTGACAGCACTTATGACCAAAACACTTTCACAATCATATATGCATCAGAGCCAGGGCTGCCGTTTAAAATATAATGTTCTCATTTGCAACGGGAGAAATGGCACGAAAATCCAGGCCCCTCTACCACCGGTATGTACTCTTTCCACTACTCAGACAGAGGAATACTTACATTTGAATGAGAATATCCAATCTTCTAAAAATTAACTGTAAACCAAACGACAAAATTTAAATGGAGAGTGTTTGGGGGGCTCTGGAGGAATTTGAAACTTGTATTTAATTTCCTGGCTCTTCATCCTGAAATGCGTCTAAGCTAGTAACAGACAGCAAAACCGAGTTCCTATCTCTCTAGTGTTCCCTGCTGAGATAAAAGCGATGTGCAGCACCGGATGCCAACAGAGCAAATAATTACACTGAGTGCTCTTTCCACAGCCAATGAATCGGAAAGTGAAATTTTTGTGGATGCACCTGAGTGCTGGGGACATCAGCTGTCCTATGAGAAGTCATTAACATTTTCTGAATGTCTACTGTGTGCCAAACACTGATTACTAAAGAGGACGCAAATTGAAATGAGAGATTATTCTTGTACTCCAGGTGCTTAAAGCCGTTATTAAGGATCATATCACATGTCCATCGAGAATAAAATGTCAGGTAAGAAAAATTCCATGAAGAAGAACAGAGTGCTAGGAAAATGCAAGAAAAGGAATGATTAATGCCAGCTAGCTTGGGGAGGGGGCTATGATGAGAGAAAGGCTAAGGACAGGGACAGTGAGACAGGGACAGTTCTCTCTCCTAGAATTATTAGGAGGTAAAAATTTGGAGCTCTTCTACTTATGATTAAACAGAAAGAGGCATGAGGAGAAAACCAAATGATGTCATCAGAATAAAAAGGCACTGCAAAACAGTAGATTATACATGCACCTTGAATGTGCTGTCTGATAAATCAGCATTTTACAAAAACACATCCGGACTAGCAATTCAGAAGAAAGCAATGTTAATGCATTAATTCAAAGAGAGCAAGCCATCCCCACCCTCACCCCATAGGCTTTTATTTATTTATTTATTTATTTATTTTAGCAGCCTATAATCTCTAGGATTTAAAAAAATAACTCACCAATGAACAGAATTAAACTTCTCAGGTCTGTTGCTTTAAAGAATAGCCAATATTTGTGAGAAACAATTTCAAGAGAAGATTACTACAAAATGAAAATGTAATATGTCTGCATCAGTTAAATCTCCCAAAACAAATTTGCAATATTGCCTCTGACTTTGACGATTTTATTCTTTCAGTAACAGTCCAGATGGCATCCAATGAGTATTGACATCATCATCATAAAAAAAGGCTAAGAAAGTCAAAATGGGATTTATTTAGGACAAAAATTAATATCAATAGATAATGATCTTAAATTTAAAGGATGAGGCATGAAAAAAACAATTAATAAACCTTTTATCTTCCTGGAAGATTTCCATTTGATATGTATAGTCATTTGTTGTGAGGAATAGAAAAAAAAAAAGACACATTAAAGAGTGTAAAAGGCTATAAGGTACCTTGAGAATGTAGAAAATAATTATTATTTAATGAAAGTGATAGCTAAGAATTCAAAAAATACCCTTTGGCTATCTGATAAGAAAACCTATGCCGATACTATAGCAAATCTAACATAAGTAATTTTTTGGCCTTGCAATAGATTAACTACCTAGGACGTAAGAAAATGTCTAAATCTGGGCTTAATCCAAGCCTCTGGAGGTGGTAATAAAGTCATTAATAATAATGGTAAAAACTATAATAATCTTTTCAGTTTTTGCTCACCTTCTATGTGTTCCATACACCAGTTAGAAATACTGAATTGTCCAGTGACATCACCATAAAAAATAAGGATAAAGTCCAAATATACCATTTTTTTCTTGTTCATCTGTTGTGTATGCGTTATCCAGAGTCACTCTTTTAGAACCATATATATTTTTAACACATGACTGGTAACAAGTTCTACCTTTTAATTACATAGGCTAAGTAAATTACTAACATCTCTTTTATGTCTGAAAGCTTCCTTTTCAAGGAATGCCTTCTTATGGAACCTCTCAAGCTCTGTGAAGTCTGCCTGAAGACTGGATTTAAAAATAGCATAAAATGGTCCTAATTTAATTTATGGCCTGAGGAGCCCATATTCACGTGGTTTCGAATATGGGTAGGATTGTTTTCTTTTTCTGTCCAATATCCTCCCACCTCACTCAAGACCTTACGTGGTCTTATTGATCACGGGAGCACACTGGAGCGGTGACTTTATGAACTAGGCTATCCGTGACCCTTGGGTCCCTTTAATGGGCCTTAACTGTTAGTGCTGAACCTGCCCTCCCAAAAGTCACCTTTGCATTATTTTTCATAAATGTATTATTTTCTATGTGGGTCAACTGGATCTCTCTTGATAACTTTCTGTTCTTCACATATCTCAATGTTCTCATCTTTTTTTCTTTCTTGGCTTAGATGCCCACTTTTTAGTACAGTCTGACATAATCTGCAAGTTTGAAAATTCCAGATGCCTATAAAGATAACATTTAAATGCTAGCTAAGATAAAACTCAACACCAGCTGGGATCCCCCAAACTTCCAGAAAGTTGTTTGTTTATGCCTGCACTATGTTTGCTGCCTTTTATGCCACTCCTTAACCTGCCAAAACAGTCCCAAACACTGCCATGGAGAGGCCTATTTGGGGTAGAAATGTATTAGAGGTTTGGGGAAACACTAAATAAAGTACATCGATTTCCCCTTTCCTCAAAGTCAAGAAACAAAGTTACAATCTTAGTGAAGTTCAATATTTCTTCATAGACTCTTGGCCTTGTGCCTGCACAATGAATGGATCACGTCAGGTTCCCATGTAGGGATGAGAGAACAGGAAGTTCATTCCTATGATTCTTGGAGTCTTTTTCAGAGAGTACTTAAGGATAGGCAAACAGTATTCTGTAGGCACAGTGATATATGTTGCAGAAAAATGTGCATTTTGGTCCATCATTAATGATTTACTGTTGAGTACAGTTTACAATCTTAAGTAAAATAATTCATCTCCAGAGATTTATTTACTGCTTTTGGCCACACAGCAATAAAATGATTTGGTTGTACTGAGAAGAATTTCCCTTTACCAAGGCCATCACAGGGAGAAGGTATGGTGTTCCAGGTAAAGGATAGCATAATAGAACCATTTCAGTCAATCAACACAGTTGGTAGTCAGAGAGAAGGCTTCTTTGTAGATGTTGATAGACATATTTATGTATTTGGAAAGAATTTTCCCTTTATGGAATAGAGTTATTCAGAAGACAAAGGGTCCAGCTAAGTTTGGGAATAAGTCGATACACCTGAGTTACTTGCACAGAAATATCTCAAAGGAATTATTGTAATTATGTAATTATTGTAATTCCCTTGAGATATTGTAAGTCAATGGAAGCTGTGAAGGTTTTATTTTCCCAATCCAAAATCACCTCCAGTCCCAATAATATTCACTCCAAATATAAAATGGCAAATTCACATGTTCAGAAGGCACTACACAGAAGCAGCACCACAAGCGACAGCTATCTAGGAAAAGAAAACAGTCCCTGAGACTAGAATATATGGCTACAAAGAAAACCAAAGCTAAAATCAAAGCATTTAGATATTGCCAATTTTGTACTGTTCCTTCGAACATTCTGGTGAAAATAAGTCAGAGCTTGTCTTTCATCTTGGTCGTATCAGATGGATCCAACCACATTTAAAAACAAATCATTTCTCTAATTACTGTGATGGTTACTAGAGGCTGGGAAGGGTGAGGGGTGATAAAGCGAAGTTGGTTAACAGGTACAAAAATACAGTCTGATAGAAGGAGTAAGTTCTAGTATTCAATAGTACATTATCGAAATTACAGTTAACAATAATTGTTGTGTATTTCAAAATAGTTAGAAGAGAAGAATTGTAATGTTCCTGACACAAAGAAAAGATAAATATTTAAAGTGATGGATATCCCAATTACCCTGACTTGATCATTACCCACTTTATATATGTATCAATATATCACATGTACTGCCAAAATATGTACAACTATGATATAAGATAAGATAAATTATTTCTCTACAAATACAATGAGAACTTTGTCATTGCCCAGCAGGATTTAGCTATTAGAAAAAGAATTATATTAGGCTGGGTGCAGTGGCTCATGCCTGTAATCCCAGCACTTTGGGAGGCCAAGGCACACGGGTCACTTGAGGTCAGGAGTTCAAGACCAGCCTGGCCAACATGGTGAAACCCTGTCTCTACTAAAAATACAAAAATTAGTCAGGTGTGGTGGTACCTGCTTGTAATCCCAGCTATTTGGGAGGCTGAGGCAGAAGGCTTGCTTGAATCTGGGAGGCAAGAGGTTGTAGTGAGCCAAGATCATGACACTGCACTCCAGCCTGGGCGACAGAGCGAGACTCTGTCTCAAAAAAAAAAAAAAAAGAAAAAGAAAAAGAAACAAAACAAAACAAAACAAAACAAAACAAGACAAAAAAAAAGAAAAGAAAAGAAAGTTTTATGTCAGAGCCCAAGTGGTTGAGATTAACATTCTTTACTATTTCTAACCACTTCAAGGTGCTAATTTACAATAAGGAAAGAGTAACAACCATTAGGGGAATATAGACTCTTTCATAGCAAGGTTAATTGAAGTGTCCATTTGACTATGTGACATCTCACTTTCCCCTCTTGTTCCGCAGCTCGATTGGCTATGTAGTTATTATGTGCAAGTTGCATAGTTACTCAGTTCTGTCAGAGAGGATGTGTGAAGAAGATGAAAAAGAAAGGACTAGCTTTTTGCAAATTGGTCATGTCTCTTGCGGATCTAGTTAACATTTCCTGTTTTCTGCAAGAATTAATTTTTTTCCTAATGAACTTTAAGAACTACCAATATTTTTAGTATACTCTTTCTTTCTTATTTATTTGTACATTATCTGTTTGTATCCTTGAATTTTCTCTGGGATGTTATAAAAGAAAAATATTACAAGCATAATTTCTGACACAATGTTTTATAACTGTTTTCAAAAGCAATCTATTTCTCTCTTAATTTCTATAGAACCCATTTTAGTCATTCCTATGATGAATGAAAAAAAACTCACAATTAGTTGTCAGTTTCAGAAAGGAGTCTCAGAAGCATCTTAGAACCACCTAGGCGGTCTTATAGGCGTCACAGAAAAATATTCCACCTTACTTATTCTTATCTTCTTCAAACTGACTCCAAATATAATAAGCAGGCTTAAGTTATATAAGGTTCCTTAAAAGTTGTTCTCAAAAACAATTAAATGCAGACTGTCCTCAGTAAAACTTGCATTGGCCCAGTCCATTTTACCAAGTTTGCTCCTTCTTACATGTACGACTGCCCCTGTGACAAGTTTAAGCCTACGTTAATTAATCATCTTTCCATAACACTGAGACATATTCATCCAACCCTGAGAGGGATAAGGGGTAACAGGCAAGATATATTCAAATTGTGACATTTAAGGTCAACTTGACTTTAAAACTCATATACTGCTCAGTTTTCATATACGTGGCTGAAAACAAGTCATCACAGAGAACTGGTCACACTGTTAGAGGACCAAAATAGTAAAATATGAACAATTCTTCCATATTTAATGATATTAAATATAACAGGTCCTATGTCTATGCAATTGAAGTCAACATGTCACTAATTAGGGCTTCCTTTGTTATCAAACTTGCTGAGAAGATAGAACAGTGAGGAAAAAATAGCAGGAATTGAGCTGTACAGAATTAAAGACATTCTTATGAACCTTAAGACTTAAGGTCAGTCACACTCATATGACATTTGGACTATTAGACAACTCTTCTGACCTCAAATTTTGCTCTTACCAGTTGGTGATAATCCTTTGGTAAGAGAGCATGTTAAAAGTAACCAAATCAGATAAGGACTAGAAGTCAAATTTCAACAGAAGAGGGCAATGAGACTCCGTGCCTTAATTATCAACATTTTTATGATGAAGAACCTTCCTAAACTAATGAAAAATACAAGACAGAAACAGATGAAACACAGAAATGGCTGAAAAGAACTCCCTATTAATTTCTGACCATTTTCTTCCCTATTAACAGTGCTTGATGATCTGGAGTGAATACCTGCCTTTTTGGCTCCTGCCAATTAGTTCAGGAAGTTCCATCTTCAAACACATTCAGTGACCTGATTTAATAGGGGCCTTTTTATTTGATCGCCGCCAACAGGCAGTCCTACAGACTTTTATAATCACAGTGGGCTGCTTTACAGGCAAGTCAAATTCCAGTTTAATGAAAACCTACATCATTACAAGGAATTGAGAAGGGAATTCTGGTTTCTTTTCTGCTATGGCTTACACTGGAAGCATAGTAACTTTCCAATGAATCCATGCAGGAGAATGGAATTCATCCAATAGGGAAAGCCTCATTTTTCTCTATGGTAGAATGGTAGAATTAATGAATATCAAGAACACGAGAACATTTTGTAACATCCTGCTGGTTAAGTATGTTTCATTCCTAGCTAGGTTAATATGGATAGGCTGGGGGCAGTGGTGGTGGATATTTCCAGAGATATTACCTGAAGTTTAACAAAACATTGGTTTTAAGCTTGTACATCATGAACTCGGGGACAGCTTCTCTCTCACACTCTATTTATTTATTTATTTTTGAGACAGAGTCTCTCTGTCATCCAGACTGGACTGCAGTGGCGTGATCTTGGCTCACTGCAACCTCCGCCTCCCAGGGTCAAGCAATTCTCCTGACTCAGCCTCCCGGGTAGCTGGGATTATAGGCCCGCACCATCATGCCCGGCTAATTTTTTATATTTTTTTTAGTAGATATGGGGTTTTGCCATGTTGGCCAGGCTAGGCTGGTCTCGAACTCCTGACCTCAGGTGATCTGCCCACCTCGGCCTCCCAAAGTGCTGGGATTACAGGCGTGAGCCACCACACCTGGCCTCCCTCATACTTTCTTATGCACCAATCATGACCCATTTTGAAAGAGGCAGAGTGGTGGAAGGTTTGGACTTCATGTGCTGACTGGTTCTCTTTGTTAAGACTCAAATAAAACCACTGGAGTCCTATCCACTGAATGCTAGATCTCAAGACATAGCACAATGGGATTCCTGGTTACTTACAAGCGGTCTTTATGGTTCCCCAGAACATCTTCCCTTGAGCCTGCTTCCCTTGCTGCTCCAAGTGAACTAAGGCCAGAAACTAACAGCAAGCACACAGGAACTGTGGGCTCTGTGCTCCCCTCGGTGTTTCTGTTCCATAGAGGCCCATCATCTTTAGCGACTTGATTTTCTCATTCCACACACAACTCCAACAGGTATCTCATGTATTCATTGGTTTCAAATATGTGTGTGAATAAATCCCTCTAAATTTCAGACCTGTATATCCAACAGTTTCCAGGGCATCTCATCTGGTTGTTCTACATACGTTGCCTGAAAGTGAATATAGCCAAAACATATCATGCCTTCGTCATTCTCTCCATGAAGAAAGAAAGGAAGAGAGAATCTCTTGTGTTTCCCAATGTGAAAGGCATAGTGGTGCATTCATTGTCAAAGTCATACATATGGGTGACATCACTGTTGGTAGGGCCTTCTCCCTTAACTCACCTGCCCCCCTCACTTCCCGCACCACCACCCCTAATCCTCCCATTGAGTTAGTAATGAAGTCCTTCCTATGTCCTGAAAGTCTCCCGTGCATCCTATTTTTTCTTAAATCTCACTGGCCTGCCTTGGGTCAAGCCTTCATCATCTCTGCTCTAGACTACAGCCACAGTACCCAGCCTTGTCTCCCTTTTCTACCATCTGATGTTTATTCTCTACATTTCCCCCCACCCAGAGGAATATGTTTGGAAAAAAAAAAAGAAAAACAAATACTGCTATTTCCCTGCTCAAAATTTTCAATGGCTCTTTACTCTTTTCAGGATGAAATTTGAACTCCTCCAGATTCTAACTGTTGTCTTCTGCCTTCCTCTCTGGAGTCATCCCTCTGCACTTTCCAAACACCTCATCCTGTGCAAAGGTCACGCGACAATATTTGGAGTTCCCAGAGCTCGCCAGACCCTTTCACACCTTCGAGCTGTTGCACAGGCGCTCCTCTTTTCCCTGGCTAAGTCTGACTCAGGCTTTACAATGAAGCTCTGACATCACCATCTCCAAGAAAAGCCTCTGACCCCAGGAACCTGAGTGAAATTCCACACACTCCTGCAGCCCTCTGGGTTTACCTCTATTGTGGAAATTATCTCACTTTCTTGATTTGTCCTTCTCCTCCCTAGACTGTGATCCCCTCGAGGACAGACAGCATGGCTTAATTCTCTGTATCGCTAGGCCTGACAAAACGCTCACACACAGTAGGCTCCTGAACGATGTTTAATTTATTGTTAACACATAGGATTCCACAGATCCTGAGGTACAGCAGACTTCAGATACCCACTTCAAAGAAAACAAGGGAGTAATGCCTAGGTTCTTGTTCCTATGATTTATACTGTGAATAAAATAATTTCAGAGAAGTTCCTTTATTCACTTGAACAATATTTAAAGGGCAAAAAAAATTAACAAAAGGTCTTTTTAAAAATGCAAATAATTTACATTTGTTGATAAAGCCATACAATCACAAAAGTGACCATATGAATGCAAATATTCCTTCTAAAAAGTATAATTATTATTCACCCATCTAACAAATATTAATGAACCCCTCTGATGTTAGATGCTCTTTATGGTACAGGGGTTAGCAGAGTGGGTACATGGAAGCTTCCTGTAGTTTACACTATCATCTGGAAGGCGATTAATCAAATACTACTTACTGTTCATGAGTTTATAATTATAAAATGGAGGGAAATACTCTGAAAGAGAAGAGTGTGGTTTTATAAAACCATATAAGAGGCTGGGTGCGGTGGCTCAGGCCTGTAACCCCAGCACTTTGGGAGGCCGAGGTGGGCAGATCACTTGAGGTCAGCAGTTTGAGATCAGCCCAGGCAACATGGCAAAAGCCCGTCTCTACTAAAACTACAAAAATTAGCTGGGCGTGGCAGTGCATGCCTGTAATCCCAGCTACTCGGGAGGCTGAGGCAGGAGAATCGCTTGAACCCAGAAGGCAGAAGTTGCAGTGAGCTGAGATCATGCAACTGCACTCCAGCCTGAGCCACAGAGCAAGACTCCATCTCTCTCTCTCTCTCTCTCTCTCTCTCTCTCTATATATATATATATATATACACACACACACATATATATATACACACACACATATATATATACACACATATATATATATACACACACACACATATATATATATACATATATATATAGAAACTGGCTTAGACCTAAGGTGAGTGGGTCTCAACTGGGCATAGGGGAAAAGGAGGGAAAGCATTTTAGATGGAGGAAAAAACAGGGCAGGGATAAATCTTCAAGACCAGAGTGGCCATGGAAAAGTCACCTCTATAACTAGAATCAAGAGAGTGAGAGAGGAAGTGATACCAGATGAGGTCTGAGAGGCAGGGAGGGACTGATCCAGGATGCTGCTTAAGGGTGAAGAGGATCAGAACACGCCACCAAAAAACATACCATTTTGGCATACTGATTATTCTGAGGTAAAGGCAATTGAGAAACAGAAAATGCATGAAGGGCTCTCCACCTTTCCCTTTTCTGCCTAAAAGCAGGACATAGGTAAACGTACCCTTGCCAAACCCCAAAAACCAGAGACTAAAATGAAACACAGTCAGAGCCCAGAAATCATATTTTAACCATGAACACCCCAACAATTACCCCCTGATTGACGTAATTTTCCTAAAAATCTTAAGCCCCTCCAACTAAATTAATCCTCCATTTTGTATAACAAATATAAAAACTAAACTTCCACCGTAATACTAATACCTTCAGCATATCCCTCTGAAAATGTGTATGTTTCTCCTGTTAATCTGTCTTTTGTTATCTTAATTAGTAAGAACCATAAACAGACCATAAGAGAGAACAGGAGCACTTTGGGAGGAAGAGGTGGGCAGATCACGAGGTCAGGAGATCGAGACCATCCTGGCTAACACAGTGAAACCCCGTCTCTACTAAAAATACAAAAAATTAGCCGGGCGTGGTGGCAGGTGCCTGTAGTCCCAGCTACTCGGGAGGCTGAGGCAGGAGAATCGCTTGAACCTGGCAGGCGGAAGTTGCAGTGAGTTGAGATGGCGCGAGTTGAGACTGCGCGACTGCACTCCAGCCTGGGCCACAGAGCAAGACTCCATCTCTCTCTCTCTCTCTCTCTCTCTCTCTCTCTCTCTCTCTCTATATATATATATATATATATATATATATATATACTGGCTTAGACCTAAGGTGAGTGGGTCTCAACTGGGCATAGGGGAAAAGGAGGGAAAGCATTTTAGATGGAGGAAAAAGCAGAGCAGGGATAAGTCTCCATGACCAGAGTTGCCATGGAAAAGTGACCTCTATAGCTAGAATCAAGAGAGCAAGAGAGGAAGTGATACCAGATGAGGTCTGAGAGGCAGGGAGGGACTGATCCAGGATGCTGCTTAAGGGTGAAGAGGATCAGCACACCACCAAAAAACATACCATTTTGGCATATTGATTATTCTGAGGTAAAGGCAATTGAGAAACAGAAAGTGCATGAAGGGCTCTCCACCTTTCCCTTTTCTGCCTAAAAGCAGGACATAGGTAAACGTACCCTTGCCAAACCCCAAAAACCAGAGACTAAAATGAAATACAGTCAGAGCCCAGAAATCATATTTTAACCATGAACACCCCAACAGTTACCCCTCGATTGATGTAATTTTCCTAAAAATCTAAGACCCTCCAACTAATCCTCCATTTTTGTATAACAAATATAATAACTAAACTTCCACCCTAATACTAATACCTTCAGCATATCCCTCTGAAAATGTGTATGTTTCTCCTGTTAATCTGTCTTTTGTTATCGTAATTAGTAAGAACCATAAACAGACCATAAGAGAGAACAGGAGCACTTTGGGAGGAAGAGGTGGGCAGATCACGAGGTCAGGAGATCGAGACCATCCCGGCTAACACGGTGAAACCCCGTCTCTACTAAAAATACAAAAAAATTAGCCGGGCGCCTGTAGTCCCAGCTACTCGGGAGGCTGAGGCAGGAGAATGGCGTGAACCTGGGAGGTGGAGCTTGAAGTGAGCCGAGATCGCGCCACTGCACTCCAGCCTGGGCGGCAGAGTGAGACTCCATCTCAAAAAAAAAAAAAAAAAAAGAGAGAGAGAACAGGAAAACTTTTTTTCTTCCATAGGGATCTTGTTTGGAATTTCGGTCTTAATCCTAAAATCAAAGATGGATTTTAATTGGACAGGTTTGCAATTTGAAAATAGTAGTGTGGCTGCCCTTTGGAGAAAGGCAGGATGAGGTGCAGGTGCATGTGGAGACTAGTTAGGAATCAATGAGATAGTTCAGGTAAGCGGAGATAAGATTTTGCAGTAGAGAAATACAAGCATACATGGTCCAAGCTAAGCTGACAGCACTTGTGGATGCAACAGATATGAGAAGAGGGGGATAAGAAGAGTCAAGGCGACCCCGGCATTTCTGGCATGTGCAATTTTTACTGAGGCAGAAACCAGGGAAGGGGCTGAGGGTAAGACAATGACTCTCATCTTGGACATGTGCAGTTTGAGACTTCTTTGACATACCCAAGCGAAAATACTGTATACACAGTTGAATTTACTGGAGTTCAGAGAAAAGGTCTGAATTAGAAACATACATTTAGAAATATTTAATTTAAGCCATGAGACGGATGGCATTGCCTTGAGAAAAAAAAAGTAGAGTGAGATTTCCATTGATGTGTTGCTATTTCAATTACCTTGTAAATAGTCTAGTTTATTATTATCTTATCCTATTAATTGTTCTTCCACTCTTTCTCCTTCACTGGGTTCTCTGAATTATAGAATTTATGCAGAAAACAAACTTGGAGATCATCAGATATAATCTCCAAATTTTACAGGTGAAAAAACTATAGTGGGTTACTCAGGATCACACTGCTCCTTAGAGGTAAAAATGAAGACAAAAGCTCAGGTGTTTTTGATGAGTACTCCACAGGACTACATCTGGAACAGGAGCATGTTGGGAGATGAATGTAAGAGTCCCAGGTACCCAGAATCCTACCAATTCTGACATGCGTGTGCTTGTCATAATGAAACAACACAGGACATCATGTGAAGGACAACTAACGTGGGGTTACCCATGAGGTGGTGAGAAACAGAATGGGATTTTGCCTCAAACCCACTGTGGTTTACACATTAGTAAACTGTTCAAAATGGGGCCAAAAGCTTGAACTCTCTGACCCTCTATTTCCTTCTCTAGGAAATGGAGAAAAGCAATCATTACCTTGAAGTGTTGAAAGGAATAAAACGAATGTATTTAAAGCCACTAACCACATAGAAGGTTTCCAAATTACTAACTAATATTTTCCTCCAAAGTAAAGAAAAAAAACAGATGTCATCAAAATAATAAAGCTGGCCGGGCACTGTGGCTCACGCCTGTAATCTTAACACTTTGGGAGGCCGAGGCAGGTGGATCACGAGGTAGGGAGATCGAGACCATCTTGGCTAACACGGTGAAACCCCGTCTCTATTAAAAATACAAAAAATTAGCCAAATGTGGTGGCAGGCACCTGTAGTCCCAGCTACTCGGGAGGCTGAGGCAGGAGAATGGCGTGAACCCAGGAGGCGGAGCTTGCAGTGAGCTGAGATCACGCCACTGCACTCCAGCCTGGGCGACAGAGCGAGACTCTGTCTCAATAAATAAATAAATAAATAAATAAATAAATAAATAAATAAATAAATAAAAAAGCTGGCCGGATGCAATGGCTCGCATCTGTAATCTTAACACTTTGGGAGGAAGAGACATGAGGATCTCTTGAGTCCAGGAGTTTGAGACTAGCCTGGGTAATGCAGTGAGACCCTATCACTACAAAAAGTTTAAAAAATTAGCCAGATGTGTTGGTGCATGCCTGTAGTCCCAGCTACTTGGGAGGCTAAGGCAGGAAGATTGCTTGAGCCCAGGAATTTGAGGCTGGAGTGAGCCATGACTGTGCCACTGTGCTCCAGCCTGAATGACAGAATGAGACTCTGCCTCAAACAAACAAACCAAAAAACCAACTTTATTATTTAAAAAAATCTCAAGGGCTCATTGAAATTATTTGGAAACATTAAAATATTTTTTAAAATATTAAAAAAGCAATTATTCCGGTCATCAGGGTTTAAAGCCTATTTATTATATAATGCACCTAAAATTTATAAAGCACCCATGATTATGAATCAAAACATCTATATCCAAATAGTATTTGATATTATTATACTGTAATGTATTTTCTAGAATACAGCACACAAGAAACCACGTGCTATTTCAATATCTTGTTAAGCAAGTGAAAACCTATGTTGTCAGTTTTAATTCACTCAAATATGCCTGTAGCCAAGGTAAATGGTATAGTTTAAAATAGTACCACAAATGAAGCAACTATCTTACAAATTTAAAATTAATCATTTCCTCTTTTATTCATAAACTTTTATGCTTCATCTGGATTTGGATCTCTATTCTTCTAAAATTTAGAGTTTTAAGTACAAAGGATTTTTTAGCTGGTATGAGTGTTATAGTTTGCTTTACCAAAGATTTTCAGATGAGAGAATGAATAAACATTGTAAGTTACAGGATATGAATTCCAGGGAAAGAGCTATCATGCAAGAATAAGACTTATGGATTTCATTTACAGAAAATCTTCAGCAAAATCTACAAATATATTTTTAGCTATATAGTTATTTTTTCAATTTGAAGACATAATGGTGTTAACAGTGACTGAGCACTTTTATGAAACTCTCATGGAATAATATTTGAACTTCATCTTTTTCTATTGTGGTAGAGCACTTGTTCAAAGCCAAGATGTATATCCCCACTTGTATGGGGCAGATTCCGGGCAAAACCACTCCTTACCACAAAGCAGACACTTCTCAGATGCCTCTTCAGGATTTATTCCTTACCTGCCTTCAAAATATGATTTGAAGCAATTTACAATATAGCCCCCAACAAACTTAAAAGAACAACAATAAAAGATAGAAAAAAAAAACAATTAGAAGACAAAGAAAGGCAGATATGTCAGGGATGAATCACATGAGAAAAAGAAAGAATGGAACATTAAATTTAGCAGTGAACTTCTTGGCAACTACAGAAAAAAGGAAAAGGAAAATACAAATTATACATTATTGTTTTTAAAAAGGAAAAAGTAAAGTTTATCTTCAAAGACACAATTTTTTAGTAGTTTATTATAAAATACATTTATTTTATTGTTTTTTTCATTAGAAACTTAGAGAACATGAAGGAAATGTCTTTTAGTACAATTTCGCAGAAATCACAAAATAAGATACAAATAATCATCTATCTGCCTGCTCTAAAGGCTTTGATACTATTATACTCAAACTTCTTAAAGGTTTTTTTTTGTAGTTAAGGACAGACAATTCAAGTTCTTTGTTGAAGATGAGATTACAAAGTTATAGCCTTTAAACAGTTCTGTTCCTACACCTGACTTTTTAAACCTCTGCTAAAGGAACTTACCTTGGTTCCTCGTACAAGTTAGTTACACGTTTATTGCTAATGTATATGTAATCTATTTCCCCAGCAACGGTAAAATACTAGCCCACAAAACCCAGTATAGTTACTGGAACATAGTGAGTATTTGATCAATGTTCATTGCATTGAATTAAAAATATAAAGAAAAACGTAGTTAGCATGCATCTAAGACCAGCAGACACCAATCCCATATTTTTAAAATCAGCTTAAAAATACATATTTCTATAACCTGAGCTTAATATTTAATCTAGGGGAAAAAATAAATAAAATAAAGTAAAATAAAAACAAAAATTATAGATTCCCTGGTTCCATCTCAGCACTAATGAATTAGAATATCTGTGGTTTGCATTTGAAATCTGCATTCCTAAGACCTTCTCCAGAGAATTTATTGCAGCCATACTCCAGAGTGGCATTTCATCAATCCCAAATATTCTCCTTTTATAACATTTTTCATGTACACTCCTTTTTTTTTTGCAACCATAAATACTTTGTGTCCAATACATGTGCTATGGGGGATGACTCCTAGGTATAATTAGAAGAAATATTGAGATGGGAAAAGTTTAAGCTAGAAAAGGGAAGTCGAAGTCGAAAACATAGTGAAACAAAAGGTAGATGTTTTACTGTGGAGGATTGAAGGAGATGAAGAAACCAGAAGGAAGTTTGTGCAGACTGCTGGACTGTGCCTGAGGACTGGGGCAAGAGCTGCAAAGCTACCAGTAACCCAGTACTCTCTGCCTTATCTTCTCTGCTTCTCCTTCCTTACATGCTTCACTGTTCTCAACTGCAGACAGGCTTCCTTTGCTGCTCTCTGCACAGGGGCATTACCCAGCCCCTAGGTTACATTGCCTCAGTGCCAGACATACATAAACACACACACACACACACACACACACACACACACACACAGAGTCACACACACACTTCACCAAAGTTCTGGGAATCTCAACAGAAGCCCAGGGGAGAGAGCTGTTAGTCAAATTCTATAATGTACATACACCACTGATCTCATTCCCTGGCCCTGAGACACCAGGTCACATACAACCTGTGCAGCTGCCTGAGCTATCTCTGCAGCTGAGAAGGCACTTCTGGAGAAGAAGGTAATGCTGTGACTGGATGCACTCAAGGACATTTCTCATCTCAGAGTTCAAGGAAATGGCATAGAGGAATTATCCAAAGATACTGTCCTATGGTCTTGGGACTATGGAAACCAGGAGGTTGAAATCAACAACTCTAAAACCAAAACAAAAACAAAAACAAAAACAAAGAAAAGTCTTAGATGTTTCACTGGACAAAATGCATTTAGCAGGAAAAACAAAAACAAAACACAAACCCTATTATTAGGTAGATTATATTTGTCATTGCATTCTTTGACATGATCTGGGTCTGGATTGCAGATGTTGCAGGGGGAATTGGATTATAGCATCACTTTCTCAACACAGCTGTTTTCACTTGAGGTGGATATGGGCATTACTTGGCCACCATGACCTATGTTTTCCTTTGAAGCATGGGAGTTGTCTGGTGGAGTTGGGTAGTGTTCATTCTCCCACAAAGCTGTTGACAGCTATCAATCTTAGGGGCAACAGAGACTCTCAGCTTGGGAGTAAAGGAAGGAGAAAGAACTAGATTATTCTTCCTAACTGCTTTTTCCTTCCCCAAGTAAAATTTTTTTTAAAAAGTCATTAGATAGGCTGGGGTGGCCTTGATTGAGGCCAGACTGCAGAGATGATTAGAGCCCTTCAAAGAAAAAGATTGGCACAAGCAAGGTGGCCACTGATCCCAGAGCTCTCAATAAAACAAGCATGCTCCCCGGAGCTGCCCAGCTTCTCTGGGTGCATTTTAAGGCAATATGTCTTAAACTTTAGTGCACAAATTGAGGTTCTAATTTAGTACATCTGGGGGTGGGTCCAGATACTATATTTTCTTTTAAAATTAACAAATAATAATTGTACATATTCATGGGATACATAGTGATGTTTTGATACAAATAATATATGATGGCTGGGCTCATTCCTATAATCCCAGCACTTTGGGAGGCCAAGGCAGGAAGATCACTGGAGCCCAGGAATTTGAGACTAGCCTAGGCAACATGGTGAGATCTTGTCTCTACCAAAACAAACAAACAAAAAATTAAAAATCAACCAGGCATGGTGGCAGGTGCCTGTGGTCCCAGCTACTTGGGATGCTGAGGCAGGAGGATTGCTTGAGCTCAGGAGGGTGAGGCTGCCATGTTTGCACCACTGCACTCCAGCCTGGGTGACAGAGCAAGACTGTATCAAAAAACAAAACAAAACAAGAAACAAATAATGTATGGTGATAAATAATGAAAAGTGAGAAATGATAAACATTTATCCTTTTTGAGTAATTAACATATCCATTATCTTAAATATTTATCATTTCTTTCTGTCAGGACGGCTCAATGTCCTCCTAGCTATTTGAAGCTACACAACATATTATTGTTAACTATAGTCATTCTACGGTGGCATAGAACACTGGAACTATGTGGCTGTAATTTCGCATTCTTTAACACATCTCTCCCTGTAAGTTTCCAAGTGATTCTGATACTAATGGTCCATGGAAGTAATGAGGCTTTAAGGAGCACAAATTGGTAACTTGAGAAAGTTAGATTTACAACATTTGCGATCCTTCCTTCCGTGTGGAACAGTCCATAGCAAAGATTGACTCCAGTCTGCAACAACTGCACTACCCTCCTTTCACATATGGCAGGACTTCATCACAATGGTTTCTGGTTCTACTAAGGGCAATAAAGTCAGCGGATTCCTTGTTTCATTAGAAGCTCTGCAGTAGACCATGAAACATGCTCAGGGAGAGAAGGGGGAAGCTGAAAGAGCTGGGAAAGCCAGCAGTCCGTTGCGAGTTGGGCCACAAAAGAATAGAGGAATTAACAATCCCCACAGATTATAAGAAAAATCTGGGGAGGGATACTAACTAGAAAAGACTGAAAACTTCTAGTAAAGTGAATGGAGCTTGAGAACATTATAATTTGGGAATATTAATATAAAGAAGCTGATAAGTGCTAGACATAATACTAGATATACCAACTAAATCCACGACAAAGCATCTAATTGAACCTACGAGGCAGAGCACGCCTGCAAAGTTTCCAGGGAATATAAAATGATTACTTGGACCTAATTACATTAACGTGAAAAATGTCATTGATATTCTCTTTATTGAATAGCTACCACTGTTATTTTACAGCAGTGAACATTAAAACAATTATTAGAGATTCCCAGGTTAATTCTCAATCTATATGTCCAATCTTATTTTTCAATTAAAATCTTAATGTTGTCAACCAAGAATTCTTCCAACAGCTTGCTGTTGAGATATTTGCTATCTGAAGAACTCAATCAAAAATTTTAGACTCCACTAGAGTGGGTATCACAAAATTGCAGCCAAACTTAATCAGATGAGCAAAGTTTTTTGTTTAGCCTATGTATTTTCATAATTCCTGAATTAGAATGCCTCTAAGCAGGCCATACACAGTGGAACTGACCAGTTCCCAGTGCAGGATGGCAACGTAGTGCATTTATCTGCCTGAATTCTAAAGGAGATAAGTTCACCCCTTTCATTAGCTCATCAATATATATATGAGTAACATTTTTATATGCGTGTTTAGATGTGGAGTTAACTCTGAATCCTTGACCAAATGGAGCTTAAGGTTTAGCTAGGGACATGTGCAAAATAACTCTAAGACAAAGTGGAGCGTACAAGAGATGCAAAAACCAAGGCCTTTGAGAGCACAGAGGCAAAAGCTTCAGGAGAGTTTTCACCAATGAGCTCTCTGAACTGACTACTGAAGAATGGATGGAATTTAACAAGCAGAATGGCCTGTAAGTGGGACGGTGAGGAGAGGAGAAATGGAGTGAAGCCACAGATGTAAAAAGTGCAAGGCATCATTGAGAAAAAGCAAGAAACTAGAACGAAGTGGGCATAAGAGGGAGTAACAGGGAAAAAAGAAGACACATTTTGTTAGAGCAAAATGTCATTCCACAGTAGCTCTCCTCAGCTCCAAGCTCCCTCTCTTCTCTCTGACAGCAACACAGGTATCAAACCCCGACACGGAGGCCGCTTCCCTATTATTCCTGTCCTGATCTCTACCCTCTTCCTAGGCTTGACAGCTTCCTGATCATGAATATTCTCTTGATCCTGGTCATGAGGAAGCAGCCTGCAACCCCTGTACAGGAATCCCATGAAGCACCCTTCCCAGCCACACTCAGCATCAGCCGCCTTCTTCTCCCTCCTCGCTGCTGAGGCTTCGGGCTGTCTGATCTCACCTCTTTCCTAAGCTGTGCCAGGCCATGCCCCAGCACATCCCAGGCCCCAAAACTGGCACTTTCACTGCCCCCTGGAGTCAGAGCACAGAGGCTTATCTTATTACTCTTCCTTGTGTCTTGGGTTTCTCCAGTCATTGCCAATCAAACCCGCGGGGGTTCCTCATTTTGGATAATGATTCTTTCCTCTCTCAGTCTCCTCATTTTAAAATAAAACACCAACAACAAAAAAATGAAATCCATTGGGCTATGTCTTTTATTCTGCATGCCTAGTTATTCACTAAACCCTCACGCTCTTTCCTCTCTATTCCTTCAGCCCTTGGATATCAGGACCTGGGCACCCAAACCTGTTCCTGCAACAGCCTTACCCTTGTCACAGTGCTATTGCCCTTACTGAATGCCAATTTATCCCGAGCACTTTCATCACAATATCCTCTGCCAAACATTTTAAATGTCTCCATATTTCCCCTTTTATCAGAATTAGATTCTTTGGCTAGCTTTCACAGACCCTCATAACCTGACCCAAGTTCTCTACAGTTTGGTCACTGTCGAGTTCGGTGAGCACAGTTGGTGGTGACAGCGGTCTTGAGCGAGTATGGCTCTTCCTCATCTTTCAAACAGCTCACCACTGCTCTGCAGAAACCCTTTCCTTACTCCCCATCAGTCAGGAAAAAGAAATCACTGATTTTTTTCACCCTCCTAATTTCCATATACAACCTTCATAACATTGTTTTTTATACGTCTTTATTTATTTTAATATTGTTTTACTTCGCATTTGTTCATTCGGTCTTTACAAACTAACCTAGAGCAGGGTCATGATTTTTGGCGTTTTGTTTTACTATCATTTCAAGTGTTTCACATGATAAATATACCACAGGCATTTTATAAGTAGTTACTGAATAATGGATTAGAGACAGAGTTTCAATAGTGAACAGCTGGAATCAGTTTTAAAGAGTTATCTAAGAGGTACAGGAGAAAACAGAACTGTGCTCCATGCAGACTTACCAGAGAAGACGCTAGGTATCTTGGAAAGAAAGCTTTTGACCGTACGAATAGGAATTCCATTTTTTTCATCTTGCATCCGTGCTATGACGTCTTCCATCTAAACAATAATAACATAATTAAAACCTTTATAAAGTTGAACTTTTTTGAAAAAAAATCAGCTCTCATAACAATTTTGTATTCCTGTTTTGCCCAACTAAGAACAATGCCGTATTCTTGCCTTTCTAGTTTTTGCCACATTAATAGTTTAAATACTGTTAAAAAGAGATGGAGGAAACAGCAAGAAAAACAGCCATGTTAGGGCCCATTAAGCTACCAATAGGAATTTTGTGCTTTGAATATTGCCTTTCTCCTGATTTCATGTACCTTGGTTATAAAGGTTAAGATCAAAGAGTGTTTATTTCACAAGGTTTTAGAAACCATTGTCATAGCACATTCATGCTTCATTAATGTTACCTCTACTGAAATCAGTGCAAAAGCAAGTAGAGCCTTAAAAGCATCTGCTTGAATTGCTTCTTCAAGCAAGAGAATTTCCGTGATTTTGTTTTACAATAAAGTTCTAAAACCTGCCTAGAAATCCAGGACTGATTGCCAACTACTATTACATCTCTTGCCCGGGTACTTACTGAAGTGTGTTATGAAACAAATACACACACATACACACTCTCATGCACATACACTCATGCATGTGCACATACACTCCACACATGCACATGTACACACACACATATATGCACACAAGTACACATACACGTGCATGTACACACACATGCACACACACACATATGTATACAATAAAATGAATGTAACACCACAGCCTTCTGTCCGTTTACTAGATTCCCCTTTATCTTTGTTTCAATCTCATTAGTACACTCTCTTTTACTTTTACAAATTGCTGGTAATTCTAAAGGGCTGTGCTTCACAAAGTCAATGTGGAATTTAGTTTTGAAGAACATTCATTCATTCAAATCATAGCCACAGACATTACTCATGTGCTTCTAAACCTGGGAGATGCAGAGACACACAAACATACCCAAGTGGTAGTATGGGACTTAAAATCCATTCATCCATTTACTCATTCCACAACCACTTATCACTAACTCTACACCAGACATATGACTGGGCACCGTGGATATGAAAATGCATACAATACAGTTCCTACCCTCAAAAAATTCAGTCAATAGTGACAACCAAGGTGAAATCTGAGTAAAGTATGTAGTTTAGCTAATAGTGTTGTACTAATGTTAATTTCTTGTTTTGATAATTATGCCATGGTTATGTAAGATATTAACATTAAGGGAAGCTGAGTAAAGAGTGTATGGGAATTCTGTTATCTTTTCTTTTTATCTATAAGCCTAAAATTATTTCAAAGTAAACAGTTAAAAAAAACACAGTCTAAACTTTATATTAATGAATTATCAAATTTCCATTGGCCGGGCGCGGTGGCTCACACCTGTAATCCCAGCACTTTGGGAGGCCGAGGCGGGCGGATCATGAGGTCAGGAGATCGAGACCATCCTGGCTAACACGGTGAAACCCCATCTCTACTAAAAATACAAAAAATTAGCCGGGCGCGGTGGCAGGCGCCTGTAGTCCCAGGTACTCGGGAGGCTGAGGCAGGAGAATGGAGTGAACCCAGGAGGCAGAGCTTGCAGTGAGCCGAGATGGCGCCACTGCACTCCAGCCTGGGCAAAAGAGCAAGACTCCATTTCAAAAAAAAAAAAAAAAAAAAAAATTTCCATCAACATAGCTTTAGAATGGTTTTCAGCTAAGAAATCTAATGTTCTTGGTATCAACGGATGTATTACTATGTTGTAATCACACTATGAACAGATGTATTACTATGACAAATAACTGGAGATGTGGAAAGAATGGGTTTTAATGAAACACAGGTTTGTATTTGACTCTTAGCTCTTGTAATTATTATCTATGTTCTTTGAGTAAGTTAAATAACCTCTCTAAGACTCAGTTTTCTGATCCATAAAATGGTGATAATAATACTTGTAATAATTTCTTCATAGCGTTCTTCATGGGATTGCATTGGGCCTAGGGTGGGGTAAAGTATTTTAAGGGCAAATGATACAACATATATAAAGCCTGGTACATATATAGAACAACAAATATTAGACCAAATGTCCATGCACACCCACGATATCTGGGGATGCTTATTCTCCACCTTCATGTTTCTTTCCATGTGGAAGGAGCGCCATTACCCTAATCCCCTTGCCTTGTCTCTGCCCCCTAATTTACTCCAGGGGAGCTGAGCTGACTTATCAGACAGAAGAGCTGGGAATGAGAAACTGGCCTGCAGGGCCCACTCTTTTTCTCTTGGCTAGAAGCCCACATCTAACTCTGCTGATGTAGAGATGCCTGCCCTAGTGGGTAAGCAAGTCTATTCAGGATTGTGTTTCAGGATTAACAGTGACTTGTGCACAAACATTCTTCCATAATACCTTTATCAGCAATCAGGGTGATGTTGTGACCCCTACGTGCCTGTCTTTATGGTTATAGTTCTCAGTTGGCTCAGAAATCAAGTATAAAAAGAACATGATGCTGGGCACGGTGGCTCACGCCTGTAATCCCAGCACTTTGGGAGACCAAGGCAGGCAGATCACCTGAGGTCAAGAGTTCCAGACCAGCCTGGCCAACATGGCGCAACCCTGTCTCTACTAAAAATACAAAAATTAGCTGGGCATGGTGACAGGCGCCTGTAATCCCAGCTACTCGGGAGGCTGAGGCAGGAGAATCACCTGAACCCCAGAGGCAGAGCTTGCAGTGAGCCGAGATCATACCACTGCCCTCCAGCCTGGGAGACAGAGTGAGACTTCACCTCAAAAACAAAAAATAAATAAATAAATAAAAAAGAAAGAAAAAAAATGATTTTATCAGGCCTGTAAAAGACCCCAACAATAACCAAATACCAAATACCCCACTTCTTTTGTAATAAAGATCTGTAATAAAGATCTCTAAGTATAGAAACATGAAAATAGACATACTCTGATGACTTTTTATTTTGTTACTATTTGTTCATGACTGACCTGCCACAATGTTCAGAAATGCAGAATAAGCTGCTTTGTCCTGCCTCATATCAGCCTCTAAACCCTTGTATTATCTGCTTAACGGTTTAAAGCAGGCTGGATTAGAGGGACATGGAAACCTCTCTGACTCACACTTTCATCTCAGCACCTAGAGATGTGGCAGCAGTCACCTCTGCTTCGGGCTGAATTTAGGTGCGTAGCTATGAGTGGCAGTGTTTTCTTTGTATAGTCTCATCCCCTCTCAGTTCATGGGATCCCAAAGGAGTGAGAATAGGAGGCTGGAAAGTAAAAGTGACTTCTGTGGTTGTATTCCAAAATATTCCATTTTTCTGAGTCATCATTTCCACAAGAGAAAAAAATTTTAACTCCAAGTAAAAATAGGATTGGTGTTCTAGACTGAAAACGTGATCATGTACATGCATTCAGCTGTTTTTATCTTTATCCAGACATAATTTATCCGTGAACCTTCTCATGGCCTAGAATGAGACAAAAACAAACAAAAGAAAACAACAACAACAAAATGAAGAACAAAGACACATAAAAAAAACCCCTGCTTTCTAAAAACTAAAATCAATTAAAAAGAAAAAGAAAATTCTAGCCCTCAAATGACTGAAGGGACCCCCTCTTGGCTAACGGGACCCCAGGGAAACCCTGGAAGCTAAGTTCATGGCCATGATGGGATGGGGGGTGGGACACACCTCGTTGTACCCCTTCCTCACTAACCACTATCAGCCTTTCTTCCCTAAGGGGCAAACAGAAACTGACCCTTTTGAAAGACTCCACATTGATAATGTTGATTAATGACTTATCTTCCCAGGACAGAACAAAGCTAAAATGAGATCAGTCATTCCTTCACTCCTCTCTGGGATGTCTGCTCCCTCCATTCCCTTTTTTTTCAAATGTTCACCTTATCTTATGTAAAAAGTAAACTTACAGGGCACTAATTAAAGTCTCGCAAGTATGTAATCATTCCTCTCACTGTTGCCTCCTCTTTTTTAAGGAAAATGTATAAATACTAAACCTCCTAAGAACCTCTGGGAAAAACAGCCAAACAGGCATCCATAACTTGTCCTCAAGCTGGCTCAACAAGCTTCAGTGATTGAGATTTATGTCTCAATCACTCATTTTGGTTGTCACAGTCACCAAGTCCACATAAAAAAACACATGCATCTTATCTGTTGATGTTCCCTCGAGCATTCACTCAGAGTCTATTAATTTTTATATTAAGCATGACTTGAACATGCTTGATGGTCTGTTTTCCCACTATTAGCAACAGCAATTGGATGAGAAGAAAAATGCTACAAGCAAGCAAAAAAAAAAAAACAGAGCAAGTTAGTTAGACAGTAAGAGGTATGAGGGATAGTAAAAAGCAACTCCAATAAATATGAAAATATTTGGGGCAATTTAGTCTAAGGCCAAAAGACTCAGGTACCTCAAGTATCCCATATATATATGTATGTGTGTGTATATATATGTGTGTATATATATATACTTACACACACGCATATATATGCATGTATACATGTGTATGCACACACATATATGCACATGCATATATTCATTAAAATGCCATTGAGTTGTGTGTTTTCACTTCCATAAGCCTGTTTCTGAGGGTGAGGAAACTGGGCATGGGAGAAGAGAACACTAGACGATGGGCATGGGCAGGAGAGCTGGCATGCCTTGGGTCACCGAGGATTTTTCTGAAGGCTATTTTCTTTACTCTTAAGAAGTTCAAAGTAGATGATCTGTAAGACTTCTCCTAGCTACAAAATGATTGAAGTCTGGAAATAATCATCAGCATTCAGAAGGAGGTAAGTTTCCACACTAGGTCAAAGAGCCAATTCCCTGTTACAGACAAATAGATGAAGCTATTAAATTAAATAAAACCAGGCCAGGCTCGGTGGCTCACGCCAGTAATCTCAGCACTTTGGGAGGCCAACACAGGAGGATGACTTGAGCTCAGGAGTTTGAGACCAGCTTGGGCAACATGGCAAAACTCTATCTCTTAAAAAAAAATATGAAAATGAACTGGGCATGGTGGCAAGCACCTGTGATCCCAGCTACCCAGGAGGCTGAAGTGAGAGGATCTCTTGAGCCTGGAAGGTCAAGGCTGCAGTGAGCTGTGGTCCTGCCACTGCACTCCAGCTTGCGCTACAGAATGAGACTCTGTCTCAAAAATAAATAAAATAAAATAATCAAACAAGACCTTATACAAATGTATTTGCTTCCAATTGTCAGCACATTTTAGTTTCAATGCAAGACGTAGTTATTAAAAGCATGCATTTAGGCCGGTTAGACCTGAGTTTGAATCCTGACTGTACTACTTACAAGCCATCTGAACAGGTGAGTTAATTTAACACTCAAAGATTCGGTTATCTCATCTGTAAAATGGAGATAATCATAAATTGTATACATCTTATCAAGGGTGAGAATTAGTGAAACAATGCTAATTAAATGCTTACTATGATGCCACCACCAACACCATCATCATCATCATCATCAACATAATTTTCTTCCTTCATCGTTGTACTAGGAAGATACGGATCCTTTTTCTTTTATAATTCAGCCGGCAAAGATGCTGTAGTTAAGTGCAAATATTTGTTAGACGCAATAAATTGTCAAGCAATAAGTAGTCAGAGATGCCTATACATAAGCTCTGTCTTTGATTTCCTGTAAAAAACTGAGTTCATGTTGGCCCCTGCAAGACAGGAGATTTGATTTGAAGAAATGTCAGGGGAAATATTTGTGCATATAAGCAAAGGCTATGTAAGCTATGAAAAAAATCATATTTAGAAAGGGAAATGAGATGGCATTCACTTTTAACAAAATGAAAACGTCTTTGCTGTCATCTTTTCTTGACAAATTTGCCTCTTGAAGTTATTTAGATTAAAAATTAAATTAAATTGAGTGCTGTTTGCAAGACTTAATTTTTTAATGCAAACTGATTCACTATGCGTGATAAAAGTAAAAGTTAAACAAGTGTATTTTACAAAGTAATTTTGAGAATATGTATTGCTGAACTCATTCAAAACTTTTTATGCTTCTGTTACAGAACCCTCCATATTTCATTAACTAGTAAAACTATCTGTTTTCCCTTAGATGTAAACTTCTGGAGGAAAAAATTCTTACCTTACTCATCTTTGCATTGTTAATATATAAAGTGTCTGGTCCATAATGGAGGCTCACTTTAAAAAGAGAAGAGGGGATTGATGTATTTTTGTTTAAGGCATATGTTTGCATTTTCTGAGAGCCTCAAAACAAAAGTGGAAGTTAATTTAAGATTTGGTCTTGAGATGTTTGATATGTTTTTTTCTTTGTATGTAACTTTTGTGAAAAATACATTATCAGCATCAGAAATAGTGACACAGAGTAGCTCAGCGTAGGGCAGGTTAAAACACTCTTATCCCTCTTATTTTTTCTGCTCTATCTAATGCAGATACTCCAGCTTACTTGTTAGAGGAATTTCTTCCTTTATGCTCTATCTAATGCAGAGATACTTCAGCTTACTTGTTAGAGGAATTTCTTCCTTTAATGCAAGAGAGTAAATCAGTGGCTGTTGATGAGGCTGTCTTCTTGCTTGTAGATGTGACACTCAAGTTCATTGCCATGTGTAAGCCCTCAAGATGAAAGGCACTATTGAACTTCAACACCCTGCTCTTTTCTCAGGAATTCATAATTAGCATTTCCTTTGGAATAGTTTAGATGTCACTTCAAGCTTGTGATGTATTTCAAAAAGGCTCAGGTTAAACAGTTCCCGCCCGAACACTTGGCGGAATGAAAGAAGGAGCATATTACACAGGTCCATCTTCTTTGAAGAGAGTTACTAATTATTCAAGAGGGGCTGCCAGACAGGGCTCCCACATATTGATGAAAACAAAATCACTGCCTTGAAACCTTTCCAGTTCTCTAATGTTCTAAACAATTATGGGAGTTTAATTAAATTAACTTGTAGCTATATTTGCCGGAACTTTACCACAATATCATTATTATTGATTTCATTAAGCCAATCGCTTTACAGAGACACCATGACTGTAGGCAAAACATTTGTTATGAAGTAAAGCTAAAACGTTTTGTACTCTGTAATTCTGAAAAAGAAATGAATCAATCAAAATTTCAGAAGAAGTTTTCCAACTCTGCCTTACAACCACCATTAAGCACAGGCATTTGGAGATATAAATGGGAGACTAAGTGGGCAGATTGAATGGCTTTTTTCTATGTGCACATACTTTCAAATTATGGTGTGTACTGTCATTTTAAGTGCTAGCTATGAAAATGGGAGAAATGATCACTGAAGCGCTTCTTGGATTTCTTGGGCAGTTAGGTGGTGGCAGGTTTTCATAATTTAAATTCGCCTATAACTCTTTTTACTTCAGAAAGCCTTTCGAATGCAGAAAATCATTTACACTTCTGAATTCATCAGTGAAAACAGAGAAAGTAGAGTCAGTCTCTAATGAAAGTTAAATTAAGAATAATGAGATTAAAATTTGCAAGACAAACTGTTTTCTGCTGTAATAATTCAATTAAAGCTGCTTCTAATTGATATGATTTTTCCCCATGTTATAGTTTATTGCAGTCAGTATCTTAACTCAGAATTAATTACTCTTTTCATATTAAAAAACTGCCATTTTCATGAATAATCGACTAAAAATAGAAACTAGTAAAATCTTATTGCATGTAAATCTGTCCTAGTTTAACTTAAATATAGATTTATTTATTTAAAAAACAGTAACTCAGTGAGGCATGGTGGCTCATGCCTATAATCCCAGCACTTGGGAAGCCGAGGCCAACGGATCACCTGAGGTCCGGAGTTTGAGACCAGCCTGGCCAACATGGCGAAATTCTGTCTCTACTAAAAATACAAAAAAATTAGTCATGTGTGGTGGCAGGTGCCTGTAGTCCCAGCTAATCAGGAGTCTGAGGCAGGAGAATCCCTTGAACCTGGGAGGCGGAGGTTGCAGTGAGCCGAGATCGCGCAACTGAACTCCAGCCTGGGTGACAGAGCGAGACTCCGTCTCCAAAAAAAAAAAAAAAAAAAAAAACCAACACCACCACCACACACACACACACACACACACACACACACGATAACATAACTCATTTGAAAGCTTAGAAGCTTAGAAACTTAGAAATTTTATCCTTTTGTGATTTTGCAGAAATAAAGTAGAGGTTTTTTTTCTAATTTATAGACGTTTCTGCTTTTTTTTTTTTAAATAAATCATTTCTCTCATTCATCTCAAGGAATATAACCTCCACTGAAAATAAATAAACAGATAAATAAACAATTATGCTCACTGTGTTTGTTGGGATTACTTGGGTTGACAGAATCCCAAATTCAATTGTCATGAACAAAGAAATGTGTTGTAAGTACTGTGGGATGTCTTCTGGAACTCGAAGACGGGCACATAAGTGGGTCTCATAAGCAGCCCGCCTTTAGGGCATGCTTACTGCCCCCTCCACTCTGCTCCTTGTGGTGAGCCCACTTTTTCTTCTCGGCCTAGAGTCCTCTCTTAGTTCTTCAATGCACAGAACAGCAAAAATGGCTGCCCTTACTGCTTGAGTTTTACAGTTTGTGAAATTAAATAATTCCAATTTAAAGCTGTTGGAACTTTAAATTATTTGAGCTTTGAGAAAAATGTGACTATATGGCCTGAGCACATAGCATGCAGCTGCAATTCCTGCTTCTCCGATTACAGATTACAGTATGTTACTCTTGTGCTGTGGATGATTAGGAAAGGCTGAAAGGTGCCATAAATAAGAGTCTATTACTCCTCCTTATAAAATGTCGAATCAGTCTTCCTTGGAATGTAGTAAACTATAACTAATCAAACTCCTGTAACATAATCTAAGAATTGGTCTTGCATGAAAAATGTTGCAACTCTGTTAACATTTCTGTCTCTACCTATATAAGTGAAACCTTACCTCCACACTTGGATGCACTAACCCCATTCTTTTGGAGTCTGTGTTACCCAGGTGGTGACAGCCTCAAACGTTGTGCTCAAATAAATTCTACACTTAATCATATTTTCTGAATCTCATTATTTAATGCTGACAAGTTTATATGAACCCAAGGAGAAATTCCTTCTCTAATTTCCATACCTGAATTTTGGGGCAAAAACTTTGATTTATAACACTGGAGGTGGAGTTGGAAGGGGTGCTGGGCAGAGAAACTAAAGGCATTCGTTATCACCTTATTCAATATAAAAACCCATTGAACGATACATGGATAAAGTTATATAGCAGAAAAAAGTGTAAGAAAAGCAGTCTCAAAAAAATAAGAGTGGGTGGTTGCTGAATAATGAGAAAGAGCCCAAGGGCCAGGTGCGGTGGCTCACACCTGTAATCCCAGCACTTTGGGATGCCGAGGCGGGTGGATCACAAGGTCAGGAGTTTGAGACCAACATGGTGAAAGCTTGGCCAACATGGTGAAAGCCGGTCTCTACTAAAAATACAAAAAGTAGCTGGGCGTAGTGACGCGCGCCTGTAATCCCAGCTATCGGGAGGCTGAGGCAGAAGAATCGCTTGAACCCGGGAGGCAGAGGCTGCAGTGAGCCGAGAACACACCACTGCACTCCAGCCAGGGCGACAGAGCGAGACTCCGTCTCAAAAAAAAAAAAAAAAAAAAGCGCCAAAGAAAGACAAAAATTGATGCAGAAAAGAACGTTGGACAGACAAGTCAAACAACTGAATGAGATTTCACAGCTATGAAAGACAGAAAGACGGAAGTAGCATGACCAAATAGGCCAAGTGGTTAATTACATTGCACTCTTCGGCATGGTAAGTATTTGCCCCGAGGTAGAAAATACCAACGATGCTAAATGTATGTGAAAGAGTAACTTAGGTTTCCAGATTTCTTTTTTGTTCCTAGGAGGTATCACTTCTTTAACTCTCAAAAGGAGCCTCGTGGCTAATTTTTATTGCAGTCAAAGTTCAAATAGGAGAGTTGTCAATGTCCCCTGAACTATTTGGGAAAGACTTCATGGGAAAAGTAAGATTAAGCTGATCCTAGAGGGTAGGCAGGATAGAGAGCTATAAAGGAAAGGAGGAGGCAGAGCACACGAATACTTTAATCAATTGCTTCATCTTCGGCGTCAAGATGGGAATGAGTAAGACTCCTGCACAGAATAATGAATTCTGTCAGAATCCTTCTCCTTCTGCCTCTCCAACTTGACAATTTTAACCTTTCTGGAAGGTGTCTCTGTAGTCATTTTCAAACACAATTCCACCTTTGCTATCAACTTAGTTCACATACTGCCTGCTTGAAATTCTCTCTTATACGAACTCCTTACCTCCTGATCCCACTTGAGCTCACATCAGTTCGCTCAAGTAGCAAACCCCAGAATTAACCTGGGAACAAGTTTAAATATTTCATCTCTTGTTTAAAACTTCCATTGGCCTGACAACCCCATGAATTTTCTGTAAGCGAAATGACCACCCAAATTTATCCACGATATGACGCCCAACTGTCATTCTAGCGTTATAACTTGCTTCCCACATGCTCAGCAATTGCTCCTGCCTGCCTCACCTTCTCACATACACTTCCTCATGCCAGCTGCGCCCTTCCCTTTTCCATCTGTGCCTGTGGAAATTCAGCTATACTTCTAGGATCATTCCAAATTGTAATTTCCTACTGACGTCCGTCTTTATCCCTCCCCCTACCTCTCTCATCCCAACAGAATATGATCATATTCTCTGTTAAACTACTTGAGATCTTTATTTTTAGTTTAAATTTTTTTTACCCTACCTTACTTTACATGACTTACATGTAAGTTATTTATTAACATAAATATCATTCTCTTTAGATTATAAAAGCTTTGGTAATTTGCATTAGTTTTGCTATCTGTGGCATGGTCCATGAGGAATTATCACCCCCCATTTTTTACTTTACATACTTCTTTGCTGTGTTTGTATGTTCACCAACAGGACGTATTACTTTTATAATTAATATTATTTTCTATTTGAAATAATTAAGAATTCTGGCCGGGCGCAGTGGCTCACACCTGTAATTCCAGCACTTTGGGAGGCTGAGGCAGGTGGATCGCCTTAGTTCAGGAATTTGAGACCAGCCTGACGAACATGGTGAAACCGTCTCTCTACTAAAAATACAAAAATTAGCCGGGCTTAGTGTTGGGTGCCTGTAATCCCAGCTACTCAGGAGGCTGAGGCAGGAGAATCGCTTGAACCCAGGAGGCAGAGGTTGCAGTGAGCCGAGATTATGCCACTGCACTCCAGTCTGGGCAACAAGAGCTAAACTCCATCTCAAAAAAATAATAATAATAATAATTAAGAATTCCCACTTTAATAGTATTAAAATATTAAACGTTAAGTTCTTTATTCAAATGTCTGTTGTAACACATTTGAGGGTTAAATATCGCCAACTGCTCTTTACAATATACTCTCTGTAAACATTCTGTATAATTGCTATTGACTTTCAACAACTAAACTAGTCTACCTCCAAATTATCTCTTTTTACAACCTTTTAAATTCAGAGTTAATGAACGAAATTGTTTACATTCCCTTTTTTCTTAGTCACATCTCCAATAACCCTGGAAGTCCGAATCAATAGTCTTATCATCGGCCCCCTTTCAGATGGAGAGACCACAGTTCCTGACAGATGAAAGGCTTCTCTTGGGACTTTTTTTAATTGACGCAGGTGCTTGATTTCAGACAAGCCCTTCTATTCTAGCTTCTGGAATCAACTTGAAATTCAGCAACCTCTATGTGTAACAAAAATGGACGAATCATTCCTCTAAAAAATAAATGAACAATGATATTTAGCAAACAAAATACCTAAAGACAACCATTGATTTGGATGAGTGAAAAAGGCAGAGAATGCAGAAGATGCCTGGGATTTAGCTAATCTCTGAGATTCCGGCAGGAAGGACATAAAAAAAGTCAAAGGGCTCTTGGCTGAGTTTGCCATTTTATTTTATTATTTCATTTTTATTTTATTTTATTTTATTTTATTTTATTATTGAGACAGGGTCTCACTCACTCTTTTTTTTTTTTTGAGACAGAGTCTCACTCTATTGCCCAGGCTGGAGTATGATGGTGCGATCTTGGCTCACTGCAGCCTCCACCTCCCAGGTTCAAGTGATTCTCCTGTCTCAGCCTCTCAAATAGCTTACAAGTGCCCGCCATCATGCCCAGCTAATTTTTGTATTTTTAGTAGAGATGGGGTTTCACCATGTTATCCAGGCTGGTCTCAAATTCCTGACCTCAAGTGATCCACCCGCCCCAGCCTCCCAAAGCTCTGGGATTATGGGAGTGAGCCACCGTGCTTGGCCAAGCTTGCCATTTTAAAACATTCTTACTAAAGGAAAGGGGTCTCACAATACCTCCACGGAGTATAATAGATTTAAAATAGCTTTGGAACATAAGAATTACTCTAATGTTTCAATTCTTTGATTTAAATCCCAGCTTCTCTTTGTAGCCATTTATGTCTTTGTTGTTTATAAATTCATACAAATATTTCGGAAGCCACTTAAGTTTCCCACCTCCTTGGGTAATAAATTCTGTATGTAAATTATCTGCTAGTTGAATTCATATCTAGTTCCTATTATTTAATTCTTGCCTCATTCAAGCTCAAAAGAAGCCCCACCATTTTACAGTATGAGAATTTAGTGACTAACACCTTGTTTATCCTATTCATGGTATTCGTACATCCATAAATGTTGATCCACACTATCTCCTCCTCCTTTTCGTGAGCAACAGACCCAGTCATTCTCATAGTTCTGTATGGAGCACATCCTTCTACAATTGTCTGCCCCGCTTGATATTTGTGAGGGAAACCTGGCCGAGGCCAGATACCATGGTTCATGTAATCTCAGTGCTTTGGAAAGCTGAGGGAGAAGGATTGCTTGAGGCCAGGAGTTTGAGACCAGCCTGGACAACATAGCAAGACCCCCCCTCTCTACAAGTAAAAAAAAAAATGAAAAGACAAGTGTAAAAACAATCCAGTCTATTGATGGCCACTGGGCATCACAGACTCGTTTCCAGATATTCTCCCTCCAACACCTTCACACAACTCCAGGACTGATGGTGGGAAGAACAGCCTTATGCATGCTTACTTCCATCCTAATCCTACACTGCAAACCAGGAAATAAGACTGAATGTGCACTGTGGACTAAAAGCATCTCTGTTATTCCCATAAACTGACTGAAAACAATAAATGTACCCATTGTTGAAAATAAGGCTCTGTCATCATGTGTTCAGTGACGCAGAGCCTAGAACATTTCAGAGTATCATGTAGGTGATTCTTCTCTCAATTCTTTCAAGGCTGGTACAGGACTAGTGGCATTCCAAACACATAGGAGAGAAGTTTATTTATTACACACAATAGATGCCTCAGGTCATTCGAGCTTAATATTCTTATGAAACCTGGGCAGGACCTGTCAGAGTATGAAATGCTCCATCTGAAGCCACAAGAGAAAGCACTACTCTGCTTCCACTGAGATGAAACATGAGGACTTTGGATTAAGTGTAGGCAGAAGGGCTAAAAATATATATTTTTAATGATGTGATATCAAGAAATGTTACTTAAGTAATTTATTTTTATGGTAACATACTTATAAAATGCAGCCCAGAGATGTCTCTGGGATGGTCTTAGTAGAGTTCTTCCAAGAGTAATTAAAGGGATGACCTCACAGCCATCACCACCGTATATATGATAGTGCTTTGCCTGGGTCCATCCAGCTGGCTTAGTCCATGAAACAATACCATGTTTCTAACTACCATTTTCAAAATGAAATTAAAAAGGGATTATAACCTGAAGGTAGGGCAAAAGCACTTTAAAAGGACAAAAGCATCCTCATGCCAATGAAGAAGATTTATTTCAGGTGTACACACTAAAACTAAATATAAGTATGGTGATTTATTTGTCTTAGGTGTTTCATGGTTTTCAAAGTTTTAAAGTGGTTTCTGCAGCTGCTGAATCTGACCTTTTTCTCTGTGTAACACTCTTGGTTTACTTATTTTGTACAACGATTTTTAAATTTCCAGTTCCTAGAATTCTTTTAAGATCAATGAGTAAACTGTAGAAGGGCAAAAGGAAAAGATTTCTACTTTAATTGTACCCTTGCTAGTGTTGCCGATTCAAGGCACTACAACGTTAAGATGGATTTTATTTTTCAGAAGTATTTGAACAGTGATGTCGATCTTTCTAACCCACCGAACAATTAGTTTTAAAGCAGAGAAAATTCAATGTGACTTTTCTGACTTGCCTTTTATATGGGGATTTGGAAAAAACACCTCCTTCTGGCTAGTCCATCTATGAAAGAAGGTTCTGCACAGGACCTAGTTTCAACTACTCCTTCATTCCACACTGTTCTCAAGAGAGAAATTAGGATGAATGGTGGACGAATTCATACAAAATCCCAAGGCAAAGTAGGTCCAAGCCTTGGCACACAAACATATAACTTCTAGTCCAATAACTGGCTCTTTTATATCCACCACAATTTTGTTTTCCCCACGAGTGCCAAGAAAATCAGAATGTCTAGTTGCCTTCTTCCTGACAACGATTCTCAATGATCCTATGAAGAAATGAATAAAAAATAAAAAGGTACCTCACTTATTACTAGATATCTGTGACTATTATCTTATGGCTAGAACACGAACATCAGAAGGTCATGGCAGTGATGTTGAATTATTTAAAACTATTTCCCCATTTGGTAATTGTTAAAGTCATAGAGACACCTAGGTAGTTTGAAATGCCCTCCATTGAAAGCCAGCAATTTCTATGTGTCTCCACCAGCCAAGAGGACCCTGTAGAGCTTTACTTTCTATAGCTGGAATAATGAAAAACAATAGGTTTTTTATTGTTTTAAAGAAAAAATTAAAATACTGACTATATTTTTAAAACTGCACCTGCTCCCTTAACGTTTTGATACTCGCATGGATAAACAACTTTGATAACCTCTGGTGTAAAGAACGTGGCCTTTGTTGCTTAGCAGAGCCATGTGCAAATCTCAGGTCCGTCATTTGATGAATGATGTTAGGAAAATAATTTAGCCTCTCTGGGCTAGGTCTTTGTACTCCTTCCCTATAAAATGAGAATGCTACTTCCTTGATAAAACATGTACTTTACAGCATAAGTTCCCCTTCCTTCTTTCTGTGCAAACTCTGAGATGACGCTATTTCTAAGAGTGCAACACTTGGAAATGAGGTGTCTTCTTTTCTCTGGAGCTATTAAGACTTTCTTTATTCCCTACTTATGACACACTCTGTATTACATTATAGTCATATGTGTACATGTCTTATTTCTTTTGTTCTCTTTTACTGAAAGTTTCTTCAGGATAAATATTAGTTTAATTACACTGGTTTAATCACTGTATCCTGAATAGTATCTTTTGGGAAACTGAGTATACAGAGACAATGGCTAGACCACATATGAGCACAGAATTCTGACCCACAGCCCCTGCAACCAGCCTGGGAAGCCAAACCACAAGCTCAGCAGTAGTAAGTCCAAAATGGTCAAGACTCAGGCAATGACAACCAGCTTCCCTAATTTTTGCCTCTGCCTATAACTCTGGACAAACCAGAGAAAGCTAGACACTCCTCAATCTAGTTATATTAGATACCCACTTTCAGCTTCCCCATGCAACAACCTCCAGTCAGAGCTCGCTCTTTCTCTCTCTCTCTCTTTCTCTCTCTTTTTATTATAAAGCTTTCCCACTCCTCTGCCTGCCTTTGAGTCTTTGCCAGACACAAGTGGTGGTGGACGATTACCTTGCTACAGCAAGTGCTGAATACATAGCCTTTCTTTGTTTTCATTTTGGTGACCTTCATTTACTTCCACATTAAAAAAAAAATTCATGTACATCTCACTGCATTCCCAAGAAGAATCTGGGGTAAATCCTTGTCCAGAATTATGTCTTTTATAGAAGCAAAGTCTCCTTCCAGTTCTAATATTCTGTGACTAATAGATGTTGAGGTCGAATAAAATGCTGATTTGTTGAACAACTTTTCAGAAATAGATTATTCCTGTGTATAAGAATTGTCAAAATAAGTAATTCAAAATCTAAACTGTTGAAACTTTCCCTTATTTTGAGCCCTAAAAGAATATGATTATGGGGCCTGAGTCATGTGACAGGCAGCTGTAACCTAGGCAGCTGTAACCTTTGTTTTTGTGATTATAGATTAGCCTTCTTCCTATATTGTTTTGTAAAATGTTGCAAATGACTGAAGGGCACCAGGGAAGACCCTTTCCCTCTACGCTGCTGATCTTCATTACAGATTGACTTTCTTCTTTCCTTTCTCACACAAGGACTTTACTTGACTATCACATTGTCTAAGATGGAATGCCAAACATACTTTTAAATTGGAAAGGAAATGAAAACAAGCTTTACAGAAAAGAAAACAAACTGTAACCAATCATTACATTGCTGTAACCCATAAACCAGCCTTGTATAGAAAATGCTGTAATCCTGTTAAATTTGTTTTCTGCTTACATAAGCAAGACCTTAACTTTTTACTTCTGAGCACTGACCCCATTTCTCTGGAGTCTATTTTCTGATGGCCATTCCCACCTTTGCACTGGAATAAACTCTTTAAAACTAGATCTGATCCTTGCAGTTATTTCAGGTTGACAGAATGGTTCATGCTGAACCTCCGAATTAAGTTGTTGGTTTAAATTTTTATGCAAGTTCTAAAAGACCAAATTAACCTCCCACCACATCATACCCAGCAATATTATACTGCCCAGTTAAGAGCCATGGGTATAAAATTACATGATTTCTTTCAGGAGGCATTTATCCTTCTACTAAATATCAGTTCATTTTTTCAAAAATCCACTCGTCCAGCTTTGTGGGAACTGAACACTAAGAATTCTCAATAGGGGAAGAAACAATTGTCTCCCCCATTGTATGTGTATTGATTTGTAACATAACGTGGGGCGAATGGTTTGAGCCTGGCTTCTCCTTCTCTTCTTGCCAACCCTGGTCCCTTGTTTTGGGATCCGTTTCCCTTGGAGAATATAAACATTCTTTATCCCACTTCTTGAAAGGCCATCCTTGTCTTTCTAGTTGATGTTAGGAATGAACTGACATGGACGACAATGACTATGACCTATGTAGGAAATCTGTGAACTGAGTAAGTAGTCATATGAAACCAAATCTTATGTGACCTATTGATATGGTTTAGATTTGTGTCCCCACTCAAATCTCATGTCGAACTGGAGGAGGGGCCTGGTGGGAGGTGATTGGATCATGGGAAGGGATTTCCCCCTTGCTGTTCTTATGTTAATGAGTGAGTTGTCGCAATATCTCATGGATTAAAAGTGTGTGGCACTTCCTCCAACACTCTCGCTCTCTCTTGCCACCACGTGTGCTTCCTCTTTGCCTTCTGCCATGACTGTAACTTTCCTGAGGCCTCCCAGTCATACTTCCTGTTAAGCCTGTGGAACTGTGAGTCAACTAAATCTCTTTTCTTCATAAATTACCCAGTCGCAGGTAGTTCTTTATAGCAGTATGAGAATGGACTAATACACCTATATTTACACTACTCTAAAACTTGCATTATACATGTAATTTTAGAAATTTTTATTGTGGAAAATCTTAAACAGATACAAAAATAAATAGAATACAGTGAGCCACAGGTACTCATCACCCACCTGTAAAAATCTTCAGTTTATTATGCCAATTTATGTTTTAAAAGGAATACCAACTCTCTCTATGAAAAGTATGACTTAGGAAAAGGTACCGTATATAGGTTTTTCTATTAGTGTGAATTTCCCATGCATAAAGTGGTTGCTCTCTCCTAGCAGGCTCTGGCTGCTGGCTTCCCGGCCTCCCTTAATGCTGTGGATACCTGTGACACAAGACCTGGCTTTCCTTAATGCCTATCTAACTTCTTTATTTCCTATAAGACTCCAAACTTATGAAAAAAAGAGGGTGACAGACAACAGTTCATATACTAATAAAGTAAAATTTGACCTCTATTTTTATATACATTCTGTAAATTTTTTTTAGTTGACATATAATAATTGTACATAGTCATGGGGTACATAGTGATGTTTCAATACATGTAATGTATAGTGATCAGGGTAATTAGCATATCCATCATCTAAAACATTTGTCAGTTTTTTTGTGTTGGAAATGTTCAGTATCCTCCTTCCAGCTATTTGAAATTATATGATATATGTTATTGTTAACTATAGTCATCTGACAGTGGTATAGAACACTGTAACTTATTTCTTCTAATACACATTATTTAATTTACTCCTAACCACCATGTAATATAGATAATGCAATCATGTTAATCATTCCTTTTTAGAGATAAGAGAGCTAGGGTTCTGAGAATTAAACCGATAGATGTAAGGTTACACAGTTGGTAAGAAGGGGGCCCTCTACGAGGTAGTATATGGGGGCACATTTGCAAAGCATTACAATGGAAGATTATATTTCAAAAAAAACACGGCAAAAATGCATGTCAGCTTTCTTTTCAAATAAAATATAAATGTCCTTGAACACAGTCCACTCTCAGGGGAAATTTGAGGAAAAGACATATCATACTGACTATATTCCATTTGATTGCACACAGTGATACAATCCTTTACATTTCAACCAAGACATTGAAATGCTCCTACTTCAAGTTCTGATTGTTCACATGCATTCTCTGGGAACTGCTGCCTGGATGTACAGGATTTTTTAAACTATGCAGAACCTACATCATTCATTCTATATGGCAGTTGTTGAAATAAACGTTTAGTGATTCTAAATACCTCACTAAAGTAGCTAGTACTTATTGTGAATCTACCATGTAGAAGTGCTGAATGCCTGTTGTGGATTGTGGATGGTGACAGGAAAGGAGGTAAGAAATGACTTCCTCTGGGAGGGATCTTTGATTTGTGCTTTGAACACTGAGTGCAAATCAGATAAACTGAGTGGAGGGACTTAAGCAGAACTGCAGCAATGAGAAAACTCCTGGTTAATTTGACAGGAAAAGATTGTTTGCAGAGCGGTATCTGTGGGATAAAGTGGAAGAGTGTAATGTACAGGCTTGAGTGGAAATAGAACATGGATAACAAAGAAGAAACAACCCTAGGAAAAAGTAAAGCTGCAATATATTTCTTATCGGATTAATCTAAGATCAGTGTGGAGAAGCCAACAGAGACATAAAGGACCTCGTGTAAGAAATCAGACAATGGCACTGGGGACAATAGCCGGTAATGCAGAGAATCAAGCAAGATAAGCATGAAGTCAGAATCCAGGCATAGGCTGGACTAACACAATCCTTACCTGCAAAATCTGTAAAACTTTTGATAGCAATCTGCACTAAAATAAACATTTTTCATCATGACCCAGCACATACATGTGTATTCCAACATACATAGATTTAATTGAAACAAAAGTTTTACAAAACAATAGCTATTCTTTCTATGGTAGTGAAGCCTACTATTTTTATTCTATTCCACTGAATAAAAATTAAAATAGATTTTACAACCTTCTTAAATGTTTTTACAACCCACAACTGGAACATGATTCAACCAGCAGTTCATAAGAGACTATTGGGTACATTCCATGAGGAAATAAACATACGCAAGAAGTTTCCATCCTTAAACAAGTTTCCACCCAATTAAACAATTAAACAAACCAACCAATCACAGTCCTCCTCTGGCAACCATCTTATCTCATTTTATTTAATGCCAAACCTCTTGCCTTCCGCAAAGAGCTGTCTAACCTCATAGTTTTAAAACTTTTTCGTCTCAGGACAACTTTACACTTTTAAAAATTATTGAGAATCCCAAAGAGATTTTTTTTAAAAAATCAAATAGGCTGTACCTATTAATATTTACCAATTTTGACTAAAAACAAAACTATCATTTGACCCTGCAATCCTACTACTGGGTATTTACCCAAGGAAATCATTTTATAATATAAAAAAGACACTTGCACTCATAGGTTCATCACAGCACTATTTACAATAGCAAAGTCATGGAACTAACTTAAATGTTCATCAACAGTTGACAGAATAAAGAAAACATGGTATATAAACACCATGGAATACTACACAGTCTTAAAAAAGAATGAAATTATGTCCTTCCCAGCAACATGGAGGAGAGGGGGCCATTATCCTAAGTGAACTAACTTAGAAACAGAAAACCAAATACCTTTTGTTCTCACTTATAAGTGAGAGCACAACAATGGGTACACATAGACATAAAGATGAAAATATAATAGATACTGAGGACTCCAAAAGGAGGCAAGGAGGCTGAGGGTTGAAAAATTACCAGTTGAATACAATAATCACTCTTTGAGCCACGGGTATACTAGAAGCCTACTTTCATCAGTATGCAATATACCCATTTAACAAACATGCACATGCTCCCCTGCTCACCCAAAATGTAAAATAAAATAAAACAAAACAATTAAAAATTAAAAATTTACCAGCTATGAAATAAAAAATTAAAATAATCAGTAAAAATATATATTAATTACTTCATTAAAATGATAATAATAAGTACATTACATGGTAACATGAATATCTATCACAACTAACTATATTTCTCAAAACATATTTGGTAAGAGGAATGACGTTATTTTACAGTTTTGCAAGTCTCTTCCATGTTTGGCTTGGAAGACAGCTGGATTTTCACATCTATTTCTGCATTCAATCAGTTGCAATATGTTGTTTTAGTTGAAGAAAATCCATCCTTGCACAGAAAATGCTTTGAATAGGAAGGGATTTTTAGTAGCCTTATCAAACAATGAATGATACTCTTCTCTGCTACTATACCAAAACTCCACAGGTAGTAGTCAGTGATTACCTGAGATGTAGAATCTGAAACTTTTAACAATGAACTTTTCATACTCCTACTGTACTAAAATTCATTCTCCTATTTTGGACTTTGAATGGATCTTTTTACCCAGGAATGGCATGTACTGATGACTTGGAAAATACTGATGCACTGAGTTATGCAGATCTCTTAAATGCTGACACAATTCATCATACAATATCCAAAATGACATTTGTTAATATCACCACTGATACAATGAGAAAAGCCTTTTACTATTGGAAAGCTCCCAGGCTCATCGTGACAATCACAAGTTTTCCAAAATTATAACTTTCACTCACAAGTTTGTTATTGGCAACTAATACTGTCAGTTGTTTTCCTTGAAATGACGGTCTTATTTTTTTCCATTAAAAAAAGGTGTGCCAAATATTCATGTCTGAAACAGCAGAGCTTGTCTTTCAGTTATTCTTTCAAGTAACAATGACTAGCTCAGTTTGCAACTCAAATAATAGCACATCACACTTTTGTATGCAGCGCCTTGATCTCTTCAAAGCCATCTTCCACACTGTGGTCCGAGTGGCGTGTTGTAAGTAAATCTCCTCATTTTTCTCTCTTATTGAAAATACATTGGTTTTCTCTTTTGACTTTAGGATAAAGCTCAAAGTACTTGGCATATTATGAGGCCCTGCCCATCCTCAATGCAATCCCCATCCTTCCCACACTGGAGTTTTTAATCATTTTCCCAGGTGAGCCATCCTCAGGCCTCTAAGGCATTGCCTGCCTACCTGGTTAAAATGGGCTTACCTTCCAAGATTCTGCTCAAGTTCAGGGGCTTTGAGAAGCCTTTTCTCATACACCTTGCTCTCTACATACCACTATCATCATAGGTCTACTTATCAATTAATGTTGTATTTGTAATTTTTTTTGTTTTGTTTTAGAGACAGGGTCTTGCTCTGTTGCCCAGGCTGGAGTGCAGTGGCACTATCACAGTTCACTACCGCCTGGAACTCCAGGGTTCAAGCAATCTTCACGCCTCAGCCTCTCAAGTAGCTGGGACTACAGATCTGCACCACCACGCCTGGCTAATTTTTATCTGTTGTAGAGATGGAGTCTTGCTATGTTGCCCAAGCTGGTCTCGAACTCCTGGACTCAGGTGGTCCACCTGTCTCATCTTCCCAAAGTGTGGGAATTACAGGCATGAGCCACCGCGCCTGGCCTAAACTGTGAAATTCTTACAGGGGGAAATTTTGTACTGTACAGAGATCTTTTTACCAGTACACATATGTGTCCAAAATGATCTCAGGCCTAGAAAAGCCACGGCCTCTAGATAGAGAGGAAAATAGGGAAACTAGCTGACAAGTAAAGGGTCACTCCTGATAGCACAGCAGCAGGCTATGGAGTTTGGTGTCCACAGTTTAAGAAATGGAGGATAGAGGGTTTAGAGTGGAGGTGCACGAGTGAGGTGCATTTTAAATAGGTTAAGTAAGCCTGCTTCACACTACAATTTGAACTTTGGAGAAAGACTCAAGGCGAGGACACCGTACCTATATTTAGACCCCAGAAGAAAGCTTTGCTCCAGGTCTAACAGGTTATCTCTCCATGAGATAGCCTCCACTTCTCTCTGGATTATGATCTCACTTACTCCTTACTCCATTACTCCCCTTGCCTGGGCTCCTGACTCTGAAGATTGCTTCACAGATTTCAACAGTAAATAGATGATATCAGGAAAAAGAATTCAGAGGCCAAATTGTAAAATATTGGGTGAAAAAAAGTACTGGACAGATGTCAAAAACCTTTCAGAGATTTTACTTTTCTAACTTGCTCCAAATATCTCTAAAAAGGAATTATGGTTTGCAGTGCTTCCAAAAGAGCATAGCTGCAGAACCTTGTTTTGCAGGAGAATTTCAAGGGCTAAGGTTTAGTGCAATACACCTGGGAGAGACCTTGAGGTATGTATGCATCTAGGTTGAGCGATGAAAGGACAACAAAAGGAAAAGAAACAAAAACAAAGTCTCTAAAGAGCAGCAACAATAAAATCATCACTTGAAAACTTGTTTGAATATGTATGTTATAATTGATGCAGCCTCACATAAAAGGTGACAAGCTATGGTTCCAGGATAATATGTCTGGGAGTGAGGGTGGATGACAGAGAGGGTTGTTTGGAAGCTTATAGGAGAATATACTGCTCTAAATTTCTTATCATGATAAACTTGGAACTTTGAAGTTTAGAGAAGAAAGAGTTTATATATATGCTAGTCTATCCACCTGTGTTGCAATTGTTCTTTTTTTTTTTTTTTTTTTTTTTTTGAGACAGGGTTTCACTCTGGTACCCAGTCTAGAGTACAGTGGCAAGACCATGGCTTACTGCAGCCTCAACCTCCTAGCTCAAGCAGATTCTCCTCCCTAGTAGCTGGGACCTCAGGTGCGTGATACCACACCTGGCTAACTTTTAAATTTTTTGTAGAGATGAGGTCTTTGCTGTGCAGGCTGGTTTCAAATTCCCGAGCTTACGCATTTCTCCCGTCTTAGCCTCCCAAAATGCTGGGATTACAGGCATGAGCCACTGTGCCCAGGCTTAATTCTTTTTCTGAAGGTAATTATTAAGTTCTTTTCCAAGACTGCTTTATTACTTTTTTGAAAAATCACTTATACATTGCTTTTGTTATGCAAATGCAGCTGCTATCTTCAGTGACATTGTTCAGTAAGTTCACGCAAAAGTAATTCAACCCTTGGCACTTCATTCATCCTGTTGGCAAGCTGAAGGAGTAGAGAGTGAAAAATTAAATGAATATGTGATCTGTAGTTAGTACCTATACCTTCTATTTAGCATTCTCGTTACTCTCCCCAATCTGGATGCCTAGTGTGTACCACAGATACCACAGGGTTATGTCCTGATAAACTCATCATAAGTTGAAAATATTGTAAGTAAAAATGCATTTAATACACCTAACTGTCTGGGCATGGTGTCTGATGCCTGTAATCCCAGAACTTTGGGATGCTCAAGCTGGTGGATCACCTGAGATCAGGGGTTTGAGACCAGCTTGACTAACATGGTGAAACCCCATCTCTACTAAATATAAAAAATTAGCCAGGCACGGTGGTGCATGCCTGTAACCCTAGCTACTTGGGAGGCTGACGCAGGAGAATCACTTGAACCCCGAGAGGCAGAGATTGCAGTGAGCTGAGATCGCGCCATTGCACTCCAGCCTGGCCAGCAAGAGAGAAACTCCATCACAAAAAGAAAAAAAAAAAAAAAACACCTAACCTACCGAACATCATAGCTTAGTCTAGTCTTACCTTAACTGTGCTCAGAGCACTTACATTGGCCTACAGTTTGACAAAAGAATCTAAGACAAAGCCTATTTTATAATAAAGTGTTGAATGTCCCACTTGATTTGTTGACTCCTATGCTGAAAGTGAAAAACACAGTGATCATATGGGTAGTCAAAATACGGTTTCTACTGAATGTGTATCTCTTTCACACCACGGTATAGTTGAAAAATCCTAAGTCGAACCACATTAAGTTGGGGACCATCTGTAAACATAGGTGCTTGATAAGTGATTGTCAGACACATGAATAAATGAGGGAAATTTCCTGCTCTTGTGCAATCACAGAGACCTCTGGAATTCAACATAGCTACTCTCACAAGTGCTCAGGAACCCTAGAGGACATCAACAGGGGTGGTGTCAATCAGGGCTTTTTGATGACTTGCCCCAGAGCCTGCCCTGCTGCAGACCCCAGGTCCTTAGCCTCAGCAACACCCTTGGCTCTGAGGACTTCAGTGTGGCTGGACCAGCAGCTCCCTCTTTTTCATCACTCATTCATTATTTAATCAGCCTATCTACCTCACCAAGGCCTCCCCAACCCAGCTGCTCCTTTCTGTCCATAAAATAACTGCCTTAGTTCAGGCAGTTATGGCTGGGTGAAGCAGAGACAATGCCACTATTCCCACCATTCTAATTATGACCCACATCCTGGCAAGTGGATTCTCCCTAAGATACAATCACTCAAAGGCTCAGGGGCAAGAAAAGAGAACATGGGCCGGACACGGTGGCTCACGCCTGTAATCCCAGCACTTTGGGATGCCAAGGCGGGTGGATCACCTGAGGTCGGGAGTTTGAGACCAGCCTGACCAACATGGAGAAACCCCGTCTCTACTAAAAATACAAAAATTAGCCAGCTGTGGTGGCACATGCCTGTAATCACAGCTACTCGGGAGGCTGAAGGAGGAGAATCACTTGAACCCGGGAGGCGGAGGTGGTGGTGAGCTGAGATTGCACCATTGCACTCCAGCCTGAGCAACGAGAGTGAAACTCCATTTCAAAAAAAGAAAAGAAAAGAGAACATGGCTTTAGGTTTTGGTATCAAATAAGCCCAGAATAATGCTCAACCCAGAATGATGCAGACCTATGTCCTAGTCATGGTAGCATGGGACTGGGTATCCCCGCCATGCTGTCCACCCTCACCTTAGAAGAGGGCCTGCCCCTGGAGAAGCAGGAGAATGTGTTCCCTTTGGCGAAAGTTTGACCAAAAGAGGAAGAAAAATGAACCAAACATACTCAGATATTTTTCTGAAAGTTACTGATGAAATGAATCACTCCAATTTCTTAGGTCAAGCATTAATAAAGGGGTGGGGAAAAGCCAGGGATGTGCTTAGAGAGTATCCCTCTTAAGAAGAACCAGGATGGGCATGGTAGCTCAAGCCTCTAATTCCAGCTCTTTGGGAGGCCGAGGCGGGAGGACTGCTTGAGACCAGGAGTTCAAGATCAGCCTGGGCAACATTAGTGAGACCTCGTCTCTAGAAAAAAAAAAAAAATTAGCCAGACATAGTGCTGCACGCCTATAGTCCCAGCTACCTGGGAGGCTAAAGTGGGAGGATCGCTTGAGCCCAGGAGGTTGAGGCTGCAGTGAACTCCATTGCACCACTGCACTCCAGCCTGGGTGACAGAGAGAGACCCTGTCTCTTTGAAAAAAATAAAAAAGAAAGAAAACAAGAACCAGAAAATGCATTTTTGTTTTCTTCTATCAAGCTTTATAAAAGCATTGGTCAACAGATGGAAGAGTGGTTTTGAGGATAGCCCTATTCCCTCTTAAGGCTGGGATAGAGGGTTAGGGATGGCATTCAAAGGAAAACGTCTACCTTTAGTACAAGGCGGTTCTATTAAAACTGTGGAGGCATTAGATGGAAGCCAGCAGTAATGCTTTAGAACCATTCTGGGCTTCCTGCAGAGTGGTGTCTGCTGGGACCTGAATCGTGGCAGGAGATGCCCAGTGCACGGGGCCCATTTGGTCACCAGCAGAAACAGGAAGGGCCCCCTGGGAGCTGAGCCAATTGTGTGGACATGTGAGACATATCTCGGGACCTCCCAGGAGAGCTATGGAAGTAGTGATAGGACACTGTAGGCGCTGCAGGTAGGCAGAGGCAAAAGCCAGCGAACTTGTTACTCATCAATGGATTCTCTCTGTACTAACTGCTGAGGCCTGAAGAAACTTGGTTATATACAGAAGTGTGAGGCCTCCCTTGGAGACTAAAGCATTTGCTCCCTCCCAAGACATTAGGCAGAAAATACTACTTGGGATGGCAGGTTGTTTTGCACGGTCATGCCCTTTTACTTCATGAGCTATAATCTAGATGTCAGCTGGGGACTCTGTGTCCTCATGGTATATGTAGGATTGCTTTGACCCTCCCATTGGACAGTGTGAAGAAGTCTTAAGCCAACTGGAGATTTGTGGTCATTCTTTTCATGGCTTAGCTCTATCCACACAGGCGGTCATTTTCTGGGCCTGCACCATGCAGAGTCCAAACTCAGTTCTTCCACCAGTCTCCATAACAATGCTACTCGCTCTAAGCATTTTATGAGGTTTCCTAGAATTCATGTAATATTTAAGGGGATAACAATGAGAGGGCTATATCTCACTGCACAGTATTCCAATTTCTCTAGGTCTTTGACCCTTTTTCCTCCAATCATCTAGATACCCGACATGCACAAAGACATGGACACACACACACACACACACACACACACGCTGAATTCATCCTCCCTTTGATCCACAGAAAACCAAGGGTTCCTCCTCTGCTCTCCCACAGAACAGCATCCCTCCCACTCAGCTTTCAGCTTCTATCCTAAATATGCTCTGCAAGGAATTTGCCCAACAAAGGCACTTCTCTAGTTAGAAAAAAATTATCATGCCAGTTGCTAAAACAAAAAAAACACTCTCTTTTTCTAAACTAATTTAGATGCATAGTAGGTGCTTAGAAAATAATAAGTGTGTAAATATTTATTACTCTAAGTAAGGTCCTCTTCAGGGTGACCCTGTACAGAAGCAGCCTGGGGCTGAGATACTCCCTATCTAATTTATAAAGGATCAGGGCAGGCATACATTAAATCCTTTTTTCTACCTCGATCTTATTTCCTCTTAGGAACTGAAAGTGCTTTCAGACATTATTTCAGTAATCCTTGCAGCTTCCCCCAATGAGAGGAAAAAATGCCCTTATCTCCAGTGCGCAGATGGAGCCCAGAGAGATGGAAGTTAAGTGACTCCCAAGGTTGCCCACAGGGAGCACAGAGAAGAAGCTAAGCTGCGACCTGGAGTCTTGGTGACCCCGTTCTAGAGTTAGAAGATAACGTTGCCTTACAAAGAGTTTTCAAATGTGGCAGCTTTTGCTCTTTGAAATGGGAATAATTGAGGTTTCCCATTTATATTTATTTATTTATTTATTATTATTATTATTATTTTGAGGCAGAGTTTCGCTCTTGTTGCCAGGCTGGAGTGCAGTGGTGCAATCTCGGCTCAATGCAACCTCCGCCTCCCGGGTTCAAGGAATTCTCCTGCCTCAGCCTCCTGAGTAGCTGGGATTACAGGCATGCGCAACCACACCCGGCTAATTTTGTATTTTTAGTAGAGATGGGGTTTCTCCATGTTGGTTAGGCTGGTCTCGAACTCCCGACCTCAGGTGATCCGCCCGCCTTGGCCTCCCAAAGTGCTGGGATTACAGGTACAAGCCACAGTGCCTGGCCCCATTTATATTTTTTGCTCTGTAATGGGGCATGGGAGTTCATGCAACGGGCTCTAGATCAAGCCTGCTTGGGTCAAATGCGCAGCTCTGCTACTCTCTAGTTACTGACCTTGGGAAAGTTACTCAGCATTTTGTTGCCTCAGCTTCAGCATCTGAAAAACAGATGTGCTAAATACAACAATATCCTTCTCACGGAGTTATTATGAGGATCAAATGAGTTTACCCCTCCTACCTCCAGCCCCCCATACACCCACTAGAGAGGTTAGGAAAGTGCCCGGTACAGAGAAATGCTACATAAATGTTAGCTATAATTATTTCTCCTTTTCGAATTGTGCATTCTTTATTTAGCAACCTTAAGTTGATTTTTTTTTTTTTTGGTCTAGGTGACAGCATTGCCTAACTATAGAAACCAACCTTGTAGAGTCCTAGGCATATAATTAAACCTAATATATCACCATACTATTGTTCACTTCTTTCTTTCCTTCCTTCCTTCATTCCAGAAACACTTTCCAAGTGCCCACTATGTGAAAGGTACGGTATTAGATTAGGTACAGTAGTAAAGGTAATTTAGAAGATAAATTTGGCCTTAGCATCTTATGGTCTAAGGAGAATATGCACATAAACATTTAAATTTCAACTCAATGTCAAGGTAATATCATAGAGAGAATCCAGAAGAAGCAACATCTAATTCTGCTTGATACTATCAGGAAAGCCTTACCTGAGGAGGTAACTGAGTCTTGAAGTAGAAATAGGAGTTATTCTGACAAATAAAAAATCCTTGAAATGTTTGGGCAATTTGTTCAGAATACATATTTTTTAAGCTCACATACAACAATATAAAAAGTAACCATATATTAGTGATAAAGCACGTCTCAACACATTTTAAGGATTGAAGTCATACAGAAAGCACAATTCTATGAAGCTAAGAATAAATTACTAAATCCGTCAATAATCCCTACTCGACAGCCATCATTCTCAGCAAACTATCGCAAGGACAAAAAACCAAACACCGCATGTTCTCACTCATAGGTGGGAATCGAACAATGAGAACACATGGACACAGGAAGGGGAACATCACACACCGGGGACTGTTGTGGCGTGGGGGGAGCGGGGAGGGATAGCGTTAGGAGATATACCTAATGCTAAATGACGAGTTAATGGGTGCAGCACACCAACATGGCACATGTATACATATGTAACAAACCTGCACGTTGTGCACATGTACCCTAAAACTTAAAGTATAATAATAATAAAATTTAAAAAAAGAATAACTTTCCATTTTATCAATTGAAATTAATAGAAGTAAAAGTTTAAATAGTGTTGACTACAAATATTAGTATATAGATGTATGTATTTGATGTAAAAACATAGTTTTGGAGATTATTCTCTTCAAATGATTTAGTATATTTCAGAAAGATAAGAGGATGATAAATTTCAACCAAAAATAATAACACTGAGCTTTTAAAAGTATACTTGAAAAAAAAGTACAGTTGCATAGATTTGAAGAGGAAATATAGAGCAGTATGTTATCTAAAAAGTTCAGAAAATGGGTCGGGTGTGGTGGCTCACGCCTGTAATTCCAGCACTTTGGGAGGCTGAGGTGGGTGGATCACGAGGTCAGGAGACCGAGACCATCCTGACTAACATGGTGAAACCCCGTCTCCATTAAAAATACAAAAAATTAGCCGGGCGTGTGGCGGGCGCCTTTAGTCCCAGCTACTAGGGAGGCTGAGGCAGGAGAATGACGTGAACCGGGAAAGTGGAGGTTGCAGTGAGCCGAGATTGCGCCACTGCACTCCAGCCTGGGCCACAGAGCAAGACTCCGTCTCAAAAAAAAAAAAAAGTTCAAAAAATGGCCAGGTGCGGTGGCTCACGCTTGTAATCCCAGCACTTTGGGAGGCCAAGGCAGGCAGATCACTTGACATCAGGAGTTTGCGACCAGCCTGGCCAACATGGTAAAACCCTGTCTCTACTAAAAATACAAAAATTTACCTGGCATGGTGGCGGTGCAAGCATGTAGTCCTAGCTACCAGGGAGGCTGAGGCTCGAGAAACGCTTGAACCCGGGGCGGAGGTTACAGTGAGCCGAGATTGTGCCACTGCACTCCAGCCTGGGTAAAAGAACGAGACTCCGTCTCAAAATAAATAAATAAATTTAAAAAGTTCAGAAAATATTTTATAATGTCAAAAATATAAATTACACAGTATATGTATATATGTAAATATATACAAATAATTTACATCTCTATAAAATATTTCAAAATTATTTTATAAAGCAACTTCCCAGAAATTGAGTATTTAAATGCTATTTGGACATGCAGAATAATAGGCAAAAAAAAAAAAAAAAAAAAAACTCTTCAGAGGAATAAGTAGGGAATTTCATACAAAGGGGTGATAACTCTTAAGATATTTTAGCTTTGGATTAATTTACATTTCCCTACCCCGTAATGATATGCTCCCTTGGGGCTAGAAAGAAAGCAAATTAAATACCAGTTGAACAACTAAATTGATTATTATATTGATATCCCTTCTTCAAAATGTTAACGGAAGGACAACTACTATTTATACACAATTAGCATGGAGGAGAGACGTAATTAAACATAACTTTAGATAATTTCTCCAAATTATACTCCTCTAACATTTTGAAAAAGTTTTTAAAACAGAAGTGATATAAAAACAGGTGAGCTTCTTACCCTCAGCCTCCATGCTATAAGTAACACTGAAATTCACCATAAGATTTTCTTGCAAAATGCCATAAATGACCTTGCGTGTTTAAGTGTACCACTGAGGGGATATTGGCTACTAGAAACAAACAAACAAACAAAAAAAAAACGGAACTCAAAACACTTCAAGCAGTAAAAGGTTTTTTGTTTGTTTTTAAATTTCACAAAATGAAGTAAAGTCCCGAGGCAGGATGATTTCAGATTTGGTTAAGTCAGATTCTTTCCGTATTCTGACTCTACATTCATCAGCATGGGACCTTCCCAGCCACGACATTATCACATTTTTACATGCCTGTGCCCAAAGGCAAAAATAGCGTCAACCTCTTACTTTTCCTTCCTCTAACTAGCAAAAAAGCATCGCCAGCACCCTCACAGAAGAAATCTCTTTAGGTCACAACAGCTAGAATTGCATTAAGTATATTTTATAAGCCAATAATCACCGGCAGAGAGAATAAAACAGACATAATCAACCCCCTAAAGAGCAGCAGTTCTCAAACTTGAGTGAGCACCACAGTTACTTGGAGAGTTTATTAAACGAGATTTCTGGGTGGAGCCCAGAAATCAGTAGGTATAGGGTGGGGCCCACGAGTCTGTATTTCCAAAAAACTTCCAGGTGTTACTGATGCTGCTGGTCCTTCTACAAACCCCCTGCACTGCCCTAAAGCACGTGGGAGCATCTTAGCAAAGGGGTGGGGGAGGTGGCTCAGGTAATCAACCAAAGTGCATCTGAGATCTAATATTATTTTAAAATTGCTTTTCAAGAATTCCTATTACTTCAAATTAAAGATGTAACTGAGTGTCTTCTGAGTATTTTAGAATTGCAAATTTTGATATTCTACCATCACTATGCTCCACCTCTCTGAAGCCATTACTAGGGCAAGGATATAGTGAGAAAGTTTCTGTCACTGCTAAGCAAGTGCATCCTTCAGATTGCCAATGTGTCATTGTAGTTGGAGCTATTAAACTTCTATGTGGCATGAAAATTGTTTGGCTAACTTTAAAAAGGAGAAAAAAATGGAAGTGGAGGTTAGAATTTTTCTAGCCCAGCAAGAACCCACTTGGTAACCACTTTTAGATAAAAAGCCCAAAAATAATATACTTCACCAGATGTTCCTTTAATTTTCCAGGGATTAATTTGAGAGTCAATTACCTATTTTAAGTGATTAACATAAATTAAAAAAAAAAAACACTAGGCTCTGAACCAATGCTTTTAACTGTATGATGGACCATTGTTCATTTCCGATACTTTTAAGAACTAGGATGATTTTGACACATTAAAAAATGTCCTGGAATGAATTTGCTATTCTGCTTGGCAACATTTGAGGAAGTAAATACTGCTACAAATCCTTTAGGTAGCTTTCAATTGTCCATGTCTGTTAGTGAGAAGAGGGACAGTAAGAAAAATGCTAAGGTCAAATTCACTCATGACTTCATGCCAAAAAAAAGGTATTTCTGAGTTGATAACTCTAAAATCTTTTTCTAAGTAGGGACAAGAATTACTAATAACAAACAGTGGAAAACATACTGAACTAAAACACAAAATATCTGAATTTTACAGGTCATTTAACTTCCCTGAGCATTGCTTTCTTATCTGAACCTCTAAGGATTGGATTTGGTGTTTGGTTTCTTTTTTATTTTTATAACATCCCTTTCAGATATAATCCAAAGGTGACATCTCCTTTCTCTGTCCTATCCATCTTTGATGATATGTGTTAATAACAGTTAAATGCAAAATAATAGGATAAAAGGCTTAATTACAAAAAAAAAAAAAAAAAACCAAGAGGCCAGATAATTCTACTCTGGAAGAACTGGCTGTAACATCATGATGATGGCAGCAATTTAGAAAGCCACATTAACTTTGTTACAGAGATTTATTTAACGCCAGTTTGAAGAATGACGTCTTTATGCCGATGACATGATTCATTTTTTTTTAATGAGTAAAATGTGTTTTTCTCCATTAGACTTTACTCTCTGTACCTTGAAAATAAAAATACCTTTCCAGTGTCATGCATGAGTCATATTGATTCTCAAATTAAACTAAACACCCATAGCACATAGGAAAAAAAAGCCAAATGACAATTTAGAAATGTAAGGGAATTTGAATGTCTACTCATTTACTTGAATCTAATCATTAAGATGAGGATGTTATTTCACTCTTTCTAGAACAATAGTTTTCCAACTTGAGTTTGCATCAGAATCACCAACAGGACCAGTAAAAACAGACAGCTGGACCCAACTTCCAGAGTTGCCAAGTCAGTGGGACTATGTAGGGCCTGAAAATTTGCATTTTTAACAATTTCTCAGGCTACACTGGCTGATGTTGCTGGTTGGGAACCACACTTTGAGAACTACTGTTTGTAGAAGACTGGTAAAAATTGGTAGGTGTAAGAAAGATATTCTTTTTAGATATATGTCTGGGAGCTGGGGGCAAAGTAGAAAAGCATTTAAAAAGCAAAAATGAGAGACACCTGAACTGTCATGCATTTACCAGAATTTTCTCTCATAACGTGGCAGCCTTCACTGTCCTCTTTCCTTTTTACTATTCTAAATCAAAACATTACAAATGTACAAGCTGGAACTGATTATGCATAATAGCTGATGTTACTTCACTGATTAAAAACAAAAAAGCAATAAACTTTGGCTCCCTCTGCAAGCTGCCCATAATAAAATGCAGAGGAAATATTTATTAATCAAGCAAAGACTGAAAGACATTTCGTTAATGGTCTGCCTCATCACATCAGTTTGAATCACATTACACATCCCGTTAAGAAGAGATGATGCTTAAAAATACAGAAAACTAAATGTGGCATTATCATCCATCCCAACTGGAAAATGTGATGGATTGTCCTTAATAGAAAGAGTGGTAGTCTATTCATGTGGTATGTCTCGCAAAGGACCGCCAGGCTCCAAGAGCCAAGTATTCTGATCACTTTTTCCTTAATGAGAGGCTCCCATAAACACAATTTAATCCTCTTTGAAAACCTGAGGGCTATTTTGTGTTTAAGTGGCATACACAGAGATCATTAAAATGTAAAAGAACTGTGCAGGGAGGCCCAATTTTTTTCCAGGTGGCCATGCATCAGAATTTTGTTAGAATGTAACATGGATTTGATTGAATGATTCTCCCATTTCCACATGGAGAGTGGAGCCCAGAGAATTGTTTAATCATGTATCCATGATTCAATATTCATTTATGGAGCACCTATGCTGGGCCAGAGGTACTATGAGTGGGGATGACAGGATGGATGTGACAGACAGGACCCCTGTCCCCATGCAGTTTACAGGCTATATCAGTAATTAACAAGAACTAAAATACTTGGCAAAGAGGAATGCTTCCATCAATGTTTGTTTAAATTAAAGGAAAAAAACAAACCCCACAACGAAATAATCAATACAGTTGTCACAAGTGCACAGGACAGCATGAAAGCCCATGACACATATTTTGGAGAAGAGGTACTTCCATTTTTTTTGGTGGGGGAGGTACATTAGCCTCAAATTTCACAGAATACATGCAATCTCAAAGTTAAAAAATGGGTTTTACTGTTAAGGTCTGTCAATAATTCAACTTATTATTTGTTTGTTTGTTTGTTTGTTTGTTTGTTTGTTTGTTTTAGACGGAGTCTAGCTCTGTCGCCCAGGCTGGAGTGCAGTGGCACAATCTCGGCTCACTGCAAGCTCTGCCTCCTGGGTTCACGCCATTCTCCTGCCTCAGCCTCCCAAGTAGCTGGGATTACAGGTGCCCACCACCAAGCCCGGCTAATTTTTTGTATTTTTAGTAGAGATGGGGTTTCACCGTGTTAGCCAGGATGGTCTCGATCTCCTGACCTCGTAATCCGCCTGCCTCAGCCTCCCAAAGTGCTGGGATTACGGGCCTGAGCCACTGCGCCCGGCAATTCAACTTATTAATACTAGAATACATTTTCTACAGAAAAAGTTGTGAAAAATTGTGATATAATTGTATTGTAGTACATTGTAAAAATTACAATACAAGTGAAATGCTTTTTATTTACATTTATAAAGAATAGAAAATGTAATCATAAGAAATAAGAGAAAAACCATTTTTACATAAAATTGAATATAAACAGCAATAAATGAAATCGACTATATATCAATTTGATAAACCACAGAGAAAAAAATAATTATTTCAAATAATTTTTGAAAATAGTTCTTTGACCCATTTTAATGGGATGTATAAGTCTAAGGGCAAAAAAAAAAGAAAAGGTCTGAAAGCATACCTTAAATTTATTAATGGGTTTGTTAGTAGTGATATTCTAATTTTGAGACAATATTGTAGAAAACTAAAGAGATAGGTTGATAATATTAGCCACCATAATTTTTTTTCTAAGGGAAAGGAGATACAAATATAAAAAAAAAGAAACCAAGAAAAAGAACACTCATAATATTAATTTTCTCCCACTTAATTTTTCTGTAATACTAAATTTGAATTGAAAAATATAGTGTGAACCAAAGATTATAAACGTAATTTCCCTTAGGGTTTCTACTGAAAGGGTTTAGAAACATTGACACAGTAGCAACAAGCAAATTTAGTTCCCTGATCCTGGTTTCTAAATACCATTCCTTACAGAAACAACAAACAAACAAAAAACAAACCAGTTAATACCAAGTTTAGGTTTGGTCAAGGTGAACTGGTGACAATTTGTTGTGCCAAACACTAATTTAAATCAAACTATGTGAAAGAATTCAAAAACTAGCTTCAAAAAGCATTCATGAGTTCACAATAAGAAACAGGGAGAGAGAGAGGCAGAGGGAGAGAAAGAGAGAGAGAAAGGGAGACAGAGAATGAATGAGATGCCCTCCAGCAAAGGAAAGCAGTAAGTCCACGACATCATCTATCCTTGCCAAAATGTCTATCCTGGATCTAATAAAGCATCCCATCCTGCACTGCCCAATATGGTAGCCATTAGCCACATGTGACTGTTTAGATTTAAATTTAGAATAATTTAAGTTAAACAAGTTAGAATTTCTTTTCCTCTATCATCCTAGCCCTCTCACATATGGCTGGTGGCTACTGTATTGGGTAGCACCAACGAAGAACAGCCATCCTCACAGCAAGATCTGTCGGGCAGTGCTGCTCCAGACCTATCTTCCAAATTATATGGAAACCAAGAAACCAAGTTAAATGACACTACGGGGAAACCATATGACAAATCCAGACTGACAGAATGCCGTGGGACTTCTACTAGACTATTAGCCTGAACTCTTCCAAAAGTAAATTGTGTTTGTGTGTGTGTGGTGTTTGAACACCTACATATGTATATAAAATGCAATTATTATTGTATACTACAAAGATGTAAGAGAGGTAACAACCAAATGTAATGCGTGAATCTGGACTGAATACTGAATTAGAAGGAAATCTGGAGAAATCTGAGAATAGAATGGATATTAGATGACTATCCCCACACCTACGCCATAGAAGCGGAAGTCACTCTTGTTGTTTATAAAAGGCCCACGAGGGAAAGTGCCCTACTTTTTCCCAGAGAGGGGAGGGGCTTGCGGGAAATGAATGGGAGAGAGTTGAAGCAGAGTGCTGAGAAGAGGGAAAGATTTACCATAACTGGAAAGGAAAAGGAGTTTTACTAGTTCCTCACTGAAAGATTGTCCCCGGGGCCTGAAAGCTTGAAGAGATGAGAAACTCCTCCCCTTTCAGGCCCAGTCCCAAGGCGCAAGGCCACTTACAGTAATCAGCAGCGTGGGTCAGCAAGACAGCGGAAGCAGGACGACAGCCGGCCGGAAGACACCTACCCCGGCCGGAAGACACCTACCCTGGCCGGAAGACACCTACCTCTGAAGATGGAGAAGGAGGCCGTCCGGGTACTACGTAGCAGTCAGGTCAGTCTGGGACATTTCCTGTTTACAGAGGACTATAAAACCCCTGTCCTGTCCTCATTTGGGGCTGACGCCATTTTAGGCATCAGACCGCCTGTGCCCAGGCGCTCATTAAAACAGCATGTTGCGGCCGGGCGCGGTGGCTCATGCCTGTAATCCCAGCACTTTGGGAAGCCAAGACGGGCAGATCACGAGGTCAGGAGATGGAGACCATCCTGGCTAACACGGTGAAACCCTGTCTCTACTAAAAATATAAAATAATTAGCCGGATGTAGTGGCGGGCACCTGTAGTCCCAGCTACTCGGGAGGCTGAGGCAGGAGAATGGCGTGAACCCGGGAGGCGGAGCTTGCAGTGAGCCGAGATCGCGCCCCTGCACTCCAGCCTGGGCGACAGAGCGAGACTCCGTCTGAACAACAACAACAAAAAACAAAAAAAGCAGCATGTTGCTCCACACGGCCTCGTGTTGTCTGTTGGCGTGCTCTTGGGTTCGAGCTGAGAACCTTACACTCACCACTTCCGGGATGCCTCCCCTATCTTTTTGCAACTCTTTTTTGAGGGAATAATGGCACTGGGTTTACCTAGGGAGAAAGGATACTAAACTCTGGGGCTCCCAGGTTTGGCAGGCTCTTGTGGAAAAAAACCTGCCCTTGAAAAACCCCTAACCAAAGAGCTTTGAACAAGATGATCTGAGTGGGAACTCCTTCTCCCACGTGGTGTGGCCGGCCTCGTGTCTATTAAACTCTCTACTACAATGTCAGTGGCCTTTTTTTATTATTTTTTTTTGAGACAGAGTTGCCCAGGCTAGAGTGCAATGGCGGGATCTCAGCTCACCACAACCTCCGCCTCCCGGGTTCAAGCAATTGTCCTGCCTCAGCCACCTGACCAGTAGCCTTTCTTTATGCAGTGACAGGACGAATCCCTTGGGTGGTTACATGATAATGACAAAAAAAAAAAAAAAACTAGTTTGTTATTCTAAGAAAGACATATTTGAAAAATGAGAAAATTTGTTGACTGTGGACAATAAAAGACAGTGTTACAAACAATATATGAGTCTTTTTAAGAGGAAATAAAATGTATCAAATCAGATCTATCGTCCACCACATCCCTCCTTCACTAGCCGGTAGGTGAAGCTCTTTCAAGTGGGTGAGGGTAGATGGTGGAGGAAAGATAAGTTTTGTTCAATTAAAAAACATGTATAGACAGTCTGCAGTGTCAGACACTGTGCTAAGCTCCTCATTACTTCAGGAGCTTGATAAAAATACTGATTTCAAGGCCCAGCTCCCAGAGATTCTGACTGAGTCTTTTTCTAAGGTGGGGTCCAGGAATCCTCATCTTTGAACATTGGTCTTCACCCTTTCCACAAGGAATCACAGTGGAGACTTTCATTGGATGGCACCTTGTGAAAACCTGCCCTAGTGTTTTGGAGATAAGGGGGGGGATGTTCATGGGGTAGAGGGGAGTGTCACTCTGGAGCACTCTCCTGCCTTGTGTGGCCACAGCACAGTCCCACAGTGAGGGGCCACGTGGCACTGCGCACCGATCTTGAGCTATAGTCACAAAGCTCCTAGGCACCACCCACGAAAGGCCGGGTGATGGCAGAACAAAACCATCTGGAAACCTGAAGATGGCTATCTTCTCTTTTGCAGAGAACAAAGAAGATTACGTGTTTTGTTCCTACCTTGATTTCATTTTCAGTTCTTTTGGACACTGCCTTAGTTCAGCTCAAGTGCATTTGTGATTTCACATGTAAAAAAAATTACAAATGAGCATCATATTATTCTTGCTTAGTGTTCACAATGCTTTGGCGTCCAGGCTATGTTCCCCTTCCTTTGCATTAAAAAATGTGTAATTTTCATATGTTAGAGCTAGAAGGGCACCAAAGAAGCCATGAAGATGAGCTTTCTGTTAATCTGTTGGTGGCTTGCATCATCATTGGATGATGCCTACTGAAGCAAACGCAAAATTCTATTATAAAGCTAATTCTTAAACAATGTGCATTACATTCAGCTGCTGTGGCCACCTTAGCTGAGGAAGACATTTCTAAGGGATGTATGGTCCCTGAGGGCTCTGTTTAGGCATCATATCATCAGGAAGTTTATCCTTATTCATTCCTACTCCTTCCTCTCTCCCCTCAACTCTGGGATCTATGTTGTTCAATGTTGTACTATCAAAGACCGTATTTTATTGGCATTTTTTTTTCCTTTTCTTTCTCTCCTGCTGTGAGCTCCTTGAGGGAAATTTATGTTTCCCAGGTCTTTGCATTTCTAAGGCTACAATCAGAAAGTGACACAAAGTCTACATTAAAAAACTTTAATGAATTATAATTATGAATTATAACCAAATTAACAACACTGAACCTATTATTAATGATTTAAGATATGTAGAATGTTATTGATATCTTTATTCATTGTGTTCCTTTTATTGTTGTTTTAGGGAATATAAATATGTAAGCGCTTACTTGTGGTGTTTTATGACTTTGAGCCCCCAAATTTTATATTCATTATCAGATCCTGAATGTTCAACTGCCACAACTTCCATCACAGGCCAACTCAGGCTGTCCTAGCAGGCTGCTGGATGCCAGTCACATTAGGCTCAATTCAGGATGCAGTATGTGCTGGAGCTGGCACACACCTGCTCAAAGGAGCTGATCCTTAAATTTTCAGGAATTATGTGAGAAGCTGTTAAACAATGGATAGCTTGAAATTGGCAATGGCAGGAGTATCTATACCAAAGCAACTGGCAAATACTACAAATCATATCACTGCTTCTAATGAGTTACAAAGGTGTGTGCTTACATGCTACCCAAAAGGAACTTGAAGGCCTTCATGTGAAAAGATCATATGAATAAACACAAAGAAATTAGGGAATAATGGCCGGGCACCGTGGCTCACGCCTGTAATCCCAGCACTTTGGAAGGCTGAGGCGGGCAGATCACCTGAGGTCGGGAGTTCAAGGTTAGCCTGGCCAACATGGTGAAACCCCATCTCTACAAAAAATACAAAAATTAGCCGGGTGTGGTGGCAGGTGCCTGTAATCCCAGCCTACTTGGGAGGCTGAGACAGGAGAATCACTTGAACCCGGGAGGTGGAGGTTGCGGTAAGTTGAGATCATGCCACTGCACTCCAGCCTGGGTAACAGAGCAAGACTCCATCTCAAAAACAAAAAAAAAAAAAAAAAGAGGAAATTAGGGAATAACAAACTAAACCATAATCAAGCCCTAAATTTAATATAATCAAGAACCAAAAGTTATAACACAGGTAAGTGATACAGGTATCAGAAATGGGAGATGTCACAGTCAACCAAAATTGTGGGGGGATCTTCAGTGAGGAGTTGGAAAGGATGCAGGAAAGAGAGGAGAGGAATATCTTCAGGATCAGGAACCAGCTGAACACAGCTGAACACATGGAGCCAAGCACCTCACATGTGTATAGGGGAGAGTAAAGAGGGCAACACGAATGCCACACAGCATGCAGCCCTCAGGGGGAGTCCACTGCACACACGCCTGGCTTCTGTGGAACTTGGTTACTGGAAGTACCACATCTGTTGTCTTGGTCCAGCTGTAGCAGAGCCATGGATACTTAAGAGTTTGAGAATTAAGGTGATTGCGTAGCCGGTGCCTCCTCTATTTCACCTGTCTTGCTTATTGTCTATATCCTCTGTTTAATCCTCATCTCGACCCTTTCCATTTATGATTAGAAGTTCTCTTCAAAAATATTTCTTTAAAAGCTTTGAGGGCTATTTCCATTTTTTGCTATCTTCATTTTTGTTAACAGCTTTCCATGGTTTTCCTCATAATATATGCTTTTTTTAAAAAATATAACAAATCCCCATAATCCAGATTAAAGCTAAACAAACGCACCAGGCATTAAGCAAATCACAAACTCCAGGCTTTTTTCTGTAATACATGATACAAAACAATCAGTAACACTCAATTCCAGGACCAACGAGAAGGGAGACATTATAAAAAATTTAAAATGTCTCAAAATTCTGTCACTACAGATTGGCCTTTTCTGAACATTTCATATAAATGGAACCACACAATATGTGTCTGGTTTCTTTTACTTGGCAGATTTTTTTTTTAGGTTCATCTATGTTGTAGCATGCGTCAGTAGATTGTTCCCTTCCTCATTCACACCCATCTTCCTCCCTTCCTTCCTCTCTCCCTCCCTTCTTCTCTCTTTCCTTCCTTTCTTCCTCCCTTCCTTCCTCTCTCCCTCCCTTCTCTTTCCTTCTTTTCTTCCTCCCACTCTCCTTTCCTCCCCATCTTTCCTTCCTTCTTTCCTTCCTTCCTTCCTTCCTTCTATTCTTCCTCTATTTCTTTCCCAGATAGCATTCCATTGTACTAATGTACTACATTTTGTTTATCCATTTACCAGTTGTGACACAAGTTAGGGTTGTTTCCACTTTAGAAATAACTGTGAATCATGCTTCAGCCAACATTAATGTGCTATTCTTTGGATAGAAATATGTTTTTATTTCCTTTGGGTAAATAGTGGATATTTGAAAGTGGAATCATTGGATCAAATGGTCAACTTAGGTTGACATTTTTAAGAAACTGCCAAACCATTCTCCAAAATGGCTGCACCACCTTATATTCCCATCAGCAAGTGTGAGGGGGTCTTATTCACATCCTGGCCAACATTCCTTGTTGTCTGTCTTTTTTATTATAACCATTGTTCTGAGTGTTTAGTGGTATCTCACTGTTTTGATTTGCATTTCCCTAACAACGACTGATGTTCATCGTCTTTTCATGCATTTATGCCATGCTTTCTAATAAAGCATTCATTTCAAAATACATTCATTTGACTATTCGCAACTGATCTTTTCTTGTCACTATAAATCCCCAACTTAGAAAAAAACTCTTCTGATCTTAAGAGTATTGTCTTGGTGTTTATAACCATCACCTAGGTGTCAGCCTGCATGGATTCTTTTAGAGAATGGCACCCAATAATTGTCCTGTTTCTGTGTGCTACCCCTTTATGTGAACAGCCCTGCAGAGGAAGAGCCTGCTGGATGTTCCTGATGGCCCTCCAGACCTGCTCTTCTCTCTTGTCTCCCCTCATCTGTGCTCTGGAGGCTGACTTTGTACCAGGATCCCTTGTGTCTGGCTTCGGATGGAGACACAGGCAGGTAGAGAGCAACATTGAAGAGCATTTTTCCTCTGCTCCCTCACTGTGGGCTGCAGTTTGGAAGTAGCCACTGCCTTTCCCTGCCTAGTTTTTAATTCTGGCCAAGCAGACCCTTTCCAGGGGCTGAATACACTTGAAAGCTCCTACCAGGAGCTCCCTCCTCTCATACCTTCAGGGTTAGAGATGGTAAGGGCTGTTTTGGGTGACTGGTCCCTTATTCTTCTCCACCCACTGATGGGTCCCTTAACCTTGTCAACCCTTCTGGAGAGAGCTTCTTTTTAACTATTTATTTATTTAAATAGAATAGAGATAGCATCTCACTTTGTTGCCCAGGCTGATCTCGAACTCCTGGACTCAAGTGATGCTTCCGCCTTGGCCTGCTGAGTAGCTAGGACTACGGGCAAGTGCCACCATGCTTGGCTAATTTTTAAATTTTTTGTGGAGACAGGGTCTTCCTACTTCCTATGTGACCTAGGCTGGTCTTGAACTCTTGGGCTCAAGCAATCCTCCTGCCTTGGCCTCTCAAAATGCTGAGAATACAGGTATGAGCCACTATGCCCAATCTGGACAGAGCATCTTTAACTCTCATTTTTCAAGTGTGTCTTCTCCTTTTTGCTGGGACTCTGATACAGGAGATAAGCAAAACTCCTTTGTGAAACCTAAGACCAGCACTTTTATGCATAAAACAAATGGTTAGTGCTAATGATTAACTTAAAGTAGTTTCTTCAGACATATTTGACACAACATTACCCACTAGTGCCTGTTCACCTCTGATCTTGTAGCACTTTGGGCTTTTCACAAGGACTTGTCACCCTCTACCTTGCTTTGTACTCACTTGCAGTAGGAGACAATTCCCACCACCTTCACCCCAAACAGCATAAAAATGTAAAAGTTTTTTCCAGTTTCCCTAAAGTCATCTGAGCAGCTCTCCCTAACCCAGAGGAGTGCAATTACTCTAAGAACCTGTCCATACAGGCGTTTTTTAGTAGATGTTCTTTACTCAGATTGGAGTTATGAATTGCTAACCGTCTAAATTCTCTACTGATTGGGAGAATGAGATGAGGAGTGAGGGGAAGAAAGGAATAAAGACTCATCTGAAGCTTCCTAAGAGGGCCAGCCCAGGAGAAAACAGCCATGAGGCAGTTCAAATCTGCCTAGCCAAGCCAGGGACAAGGAGCTGGGAATCCCCACGTGCTGTAACTGTCACAAATGCCACACTCAAATGCAGATCCCTGGGCCACTACAGATTCACTGTATTAATCCATTCTCACACTGCTATGAAGAAACCCTGAGACTGGGTAACTTATAAAGGAAAGAGGTTTAATTGATTCATGGTTCTGCATTGCTTGGGAGGCCTCAGGAAACTTACAGTCATGGTGGAAGACAAAGGAGAAGAAGGCATCTTCCTCATAGGGTGGCAGGACGGAGTGAGTGTCAAGCAAAGGCGGAAAAGTCCCTTACAGACCATCAAATCTCTTGAGAACTCAGTATCACAAGAACAGCATGGGGGTAACCACCCCTATGATTCAATTACCTCCCATAGGGTCCCTCACACCACGTGGGAATTATGGGAACTACAATTCAAGATGAGATTTGGGTGGGGATACAGACAAACCATATCATTATGCCCCTGGCCCCTGGAAAATCTCATGTACCCACATTTCAAAACCAATCATGCCTTCAGCATTAACTCAGAAGTCCACAGTCCAAAGTCTCATCTGAGATAAGGCAGGTCTCTTCCACCTATGAGCCTGTAAAATCAAAAGCAGGTTAGTTACTTCCTAGACACCGTGATGGTACACGCATTGAGTAAAGACAGCTGTTCCAAGTGGGAGAAATTGGCCAAAACAAAGGGGCTGCAGGCCCCATGCTAGTCCAAAATCCAGCAGGGCAGTCAAATCTTAAAGCTCCAAAATGATCTCCTTTGACTCCATGTCTCACATCTAGGTCATGCTGATGCAAGACGTGGGTCCCCATGGTCTTGGGCAGCTCCACCCCTGTGGCTCTGCAGGGTACAACCTCCCTCCTGGCTGCTTTCGTGGGCTGGCACTGAGTGCCTACAGGTTTTCCAGGTGCACAGTGCAAGCTGTCAGTGGATCTACCATTCTGAGGTCTGAAGGATGGTGGCCTTCTCAAAGCTCCACTAGGCAAGGCCCCAGTAGGGACTCTGTGTGGGGGCTCTGAACCTACGTTTCCCTTTTGCGCTACCCTAGCAGGGCTTCTCCATGAAAGCCCTGCCCCTGTAGCAGACTTCTGCCTGGACATCCAGGCATTTCCATACATCTTCTGAAATCCACGCAGAGTTTCCCAAACCTCAATTCTTGACTTCTGTGCACTCTCAGGCTGAACACCATGTGGAAGCTGCCAAAGGTTGAGGCTTTAACCCTGTAAAGCAATGGACTGAGCTCTACGTTGACCCCTTTCAGCCATGGCTGGAGTGGCTGGGATGAAGGACAAGTCCCTAGGCTGCAGACAGCATGGGAATCCTGGGCCTGGCCAATGAAACCACTTTTCCTCCTAGGCCTCCAGGCCTGTGATGGGAAGGGCTGCCGTGAAGACCTCAGACATGCCCTGGAGGCATTTTACCCATTGTCTTGGTAATTAACATTCAGCTCCTCCTTACATATGCAAATTTATGCAGCCAGCTTGATTTTCTCCTCAGAAAACGGGATTTTCTTTTCTATCATGTTGTCAAGCTGCGAATTTTCCAAACTTTTATGCTCTACTTCCATCATAAAACCCAATGCTTTTAACAGCACCTGAGTCATCTCTTGAATGGTTTGCTACTTAGAAATTTCTTCCGCCAGATACCCTAAATCATCTCTCTCAAGTTCAAAGTTCCACAAATATCTCAGGCAGGAGCAAAATGCTGCCAGTCTCTTTGCTAAAACATAACAAGGGTCATCTTTGCTCCAGTTCCCAACAAGTTCCTCATCTCCATCTGAGACCACCTCAGCCTGGATCTTATTGTTCCTATCACTATCAGCGTTTTTGTCAGAGCCATTCAACAAGTCTCTAGGGAGTTCCAAATTTTCTCACATTTTACTGTCTTCTTCTGAGCCCTCCAAACTATTCCAACCTCTGCCTGTTACCCAGTTCCAAAGTCATTTCCACATGTTTGGGTATCTTTTCAGCAATACCCCACTCTACTGGTCAATTTACTGTATTAGTCCATTTTCATGCTGCCGATAATGACATACCTGAGACTTGCCAATTTACAAAAGAAAGAGGTTTAATTGGACTTGCAGTTCCATGTGGCTAGGGAAGCCTCACAATCATGGCAGAAGGCAAGGAGGAGCAAGTCATGTCTTACATGGATGGTGGCAGGCAAAAAGAGAGCTTGTGGAGGGGAACTCCTCTTTTTAAAACCATCAGATCTCATGAGACTCATCCACTATCACAAGAACAGCATGGGAAAGACCTGCCCCCATGATTCAATCACTTCCCACCAGGTCCCTCTCACAACATGTGGGAATTCAAGATGAGATCTGGGTGAAGACACAGCCAAACCATATCTGCAAGCAAGGAGGGATGTACCTTTAGTAGAATTAAACCACTTATTTATGTGAAATACTACCACTGCTATGGTCTGAATGTTTGTGTCCCCCCTAGAAATTCATATGTTGAAATGAAATCACCACTGTATTTAGAGGTGGGGGCTTCAAGAGTTGATTAGATCATGAGGGCAAAGCCTCATGAATGAGATTAGTGCCCTTATAAAGGAGGCCTGAGGGAGATTGCTTGTCCTTTCTGCCATGTGAAAATACAGCGAGAAGGAACCATCTGTGAACCAGAGAATGAAACCTCACTGGTGACTAAATCTGCCAGTGCCTTGATCTTAGTACTTGCCAGCCTCCAGAACTCTGAGAAATACATTTCTATTGTGTATAAGCCACTCAGCCCATGATATTTTCTTATAGCCGCCTGAGTGGACTAAGGCAGTAATGTAAAGATTTTACTAGCTTTTATAGTAAAAATCTAGCTTTTCTAGTTTGTTCTTCATATATATATATATATGAGCATTTTCAAACAGAGTACTTCTGGAAGCTGAACAACAGTGTCTCCTGTTAAAAAATTCAAATCCTCATCCAAATTGACATACATGTGCTGGCGCATATGTTGTTTATTTCTCTGCTGTTTATACCAAACTTTTCCTGCAAACGCATCCATCACACACACATGTGGATACGCACAGGCACACACATCCAAATACACTGCAGGTAAGACCCACTACTACTAGTCTCACAGTTTCACAGTGATGTTGGGCCAAAAACCTGATCCATTATTACTTACTGCGGTTCACGGAAGCAGCTTTGTAAACCTACATAAAGATTCCCCCTTCCTTGGGAAGCCATAAATGCAACGTTTCACTGAGCAGCATGGAGGCAGGGTGTTAACCTGCTGTGTGACTGCTTTCAAAGAGCCAGCACTCCTCAGCAGAAGCCTAATCATCTCTGTGGATGTGCTGTCCTGGGCCTGCTTCGATAAGTGCTGTTTATGTGGCTGTATTTTCAAGATAGCATGGAGGGATGCTAAACTTGGTATTTGAAATCTGTTTTTCCTCACGGCAGCAACAAGCCTGCAGCACAGCGCTACCAGCCAGCTAGCCAACCCCACAGCCGCCTGTTGGGCAAAGGAACCCTGGAACTCGTTGAGGTTGCAGGAACATACAGAAGATCATTTCTCCTCTTTCATTTTCTTGCTGCCTTTTCTTTCTTAAAATCTTAACGTCCCAAAGGAACAACTGATGTGAGTCAGTATGTGTTGGCAGGGCAGGATGGTGTGTGTGTGTGTGTGTGTGTGTGTGTGTGTGTGTGTTCGTGTTCATTCTTCCTGTTCCTGTTTTCCCACCTCAGCCTTGGGTGTCGATGAAACTTTTTTTTTTTTTGAGATGGAGTCTCGCACTGTCGCCCAGGCTGGAATGCAGTGGCACGATCTCGGCTCACTTCCACTTCCGCCTCCTCAGTTCAAGCGATTCTCCTGCCTCAGCCTCCCGAGTGGCTGGGATTACAGGTGCCTGCCACCATGCCCAGCTAATTTTTTGTATTTTTAGTAGAGACGGGGTTTCACCATGTTGGCCAGGCTGGTCTCGACCTCCTGCCCCTGTGATTCTCCCGCTTCAGCCACCCAAAGTGCTGAGATTACAGAAATGTTTTATATACCTATTTGCTCCAGGCAGAGTTTGAAGGCAGAGACTTATATCAATTAGAGATCCATAAAAGCCAGTGAGGTGACATGAACAAAAGCATTCCCACCAACACTGGAAGTATTCAAGCCAGATTTTAAACATGAGATTTCCACTTTAGGATAAAGGTTGGATCCGATAACTTTGAAGATCCTCTGCCATTTAAAAATTCTATGGGCCAGACGTGATGGTTCACGTCTGTAATCCCAGCACTTTGGGAGACAGAGGCAGGAAGATCACCTGAGGTCAGGATTTCAAAGCCAGTTTGGCCAAGGTTGTGGCACATGCCTGCAATCCCAGCTACTTTGAGGCTGAGGCACAAGAATCACTTGAACCTGGGAGGTGGAGGTTGCAGTGAGCCGAGATCATGCTCCTGCATTCTAGCCTGGGCGACAGAGTGAGACTCTGTCCAAAATAAACAAACAAATAAATAAATTAAATAATAAATACAAAAATAAATATTCTGTGATGCCATGATCTTACTCCCAGTTTAATGAACAGTTCTGATGGTGATGTTTAGAGTGAAACTCATAGTTTCCTTGAATATTTTCCTACTTTGCATATTTCCCAAGATGCTTTTTCCATTTTGAGGAAGATACAAGATAAGATACTTCTCACTGAAAGTTCTCCTTTAAGGGGAGAAGCAATGGCATCTGAATCTCAAAGTTTGGAAAAAATAAACCGTTTTTTATCTCTTGGCTGAAGGCAAAGTGAAGAAGTAACCACAGCTCAGCTCTGTGGAGAGTGGGGGTGGCAGATGGGAAGGTGAAGGAAGGAAAAGCAAACACAGTCAGCCCTCCCTCCACACTGGCATCCATGCATCCACGGATTCAACTAACCAAGGACCAAAATATCCCAAAAATAAGAAGAAAAATTAAAATGACAGTACAATGAAAAAAAAATACAATCTAATAAGACAATAGAGCACAACAACTATTTCAATAACATTTACATTGTATGAGGTATTATAAGTAATCTAGAGATGATTTAAAGTATATGGGAGTATGTGCCCATATACACAATGGCAAATCCTATGCCGTTTTATATAAGAGACTTGAGCATCTCCAGATTTTGGTATCTGAGGGGAATCCTGGAACCAATTCCCTGCAGATACTGAGAAACAACGCTATGCTCTGGGCAGAAGTACTTCCAGAAGAGCCACACGATTGTTCCCCTATCCTTGCTCAACAAAATGCCAGCATCAGAAGAAACAATGGAAAAACCTGATTCTTTCACAAGAGCTGACCTCTGACTATAAAGGATTTAGGGACAAGATTCCCAACCTACTCTATATGGCAAAGGAAGAAAATAAAATGTTATCTTCTTTCTCCCCAGAGGTCACTCATTGCTTTTCCTCTCCAAAATATGCTTGTCTTAGTTCATTCAGCGGCTATAACAAAATACCATAGACTGAGTGTCTTATACACAACAGGAATGTATTGCTCACAGTTCTGGAGGCTGGGAAGTCCAAGATCAAGGTGACAGTGGATTTAGTGTCTGCTGAGGACCCACTTTCTGATTCATAGATGATGCTTTCTTGCTGTGTGGGCACTAATCTCATTCATAAAGGCTCTACCTTCAGGGCCTAATCACCTCCCCAAGCCCCAGCCTCCTAATACCATCGTATTGGGGGTGAGGATTTCAACATGTGAATTTTGGGGACGTAGAAACACTCGGCTTATAGCAGTGCTCTTTTTATTTTGCCTTACTGATAGCTAAGGTCACTCTGTGTGCACATTTATTTCACACTTGAAGCATCCCTGGTGTTTTTAATAATCACCTCCAGCCTGTCACGTGAAATTAATAACACACACACACGACTCCATTTTTCATCAAGGCCACCTTCCAGAAAGAAATTACTCTTTGACTACTCAGAGAAAGGTGCAGAGATTATTATAAAAATCAGGAGAGGCAATGAATAATATGAAGAAATTCAGTGTCCCAAGTTCTTTTCCTCCCACACTTATTTGTAGCCAGTGTGATCATTCCTTATGCACCTAAACTGCATAATCTAAATTAATTCCAATGTGTTGTAGAGTTTCACCACCATTACAGTTTGCTGTGATTAGCAAACCTTAACCTAGTGCCTTCATGTAGAAGTATGACTATTTTCACAGTTTTGTATGAATGTACTTGCTATATGACCTTGGGTAACTCACTTTACCTTCTTTGTCTTGGTCTTTTACCATCTGTAAAATATAGTATAGTTTTTCCTTCTCCATATTTTATGATTAAGAAAAAATAGAAGATGGTTAGAAAATAATAGGAACACATGATTCATGCAATCATGCCAAAAGTACCAGGAAATCACATTTCAACATATAATTTCTATGCAGGTTATCAGTAAAGCACATCTTTAAATCACTTTCAATCAATTCACAAGGTAACAGAATTTTGATTTTTTTCCCCTTTTTAGGTGCGGATTAAATATCCCATCTAGATTAAGTTTTATATATATATATATATATATATATATATATATATATATGTAAGAATCAATGCAATATCATATAGGTCTCAAAATACGTTATTTTCTTACTCCTTCTTTACATTCTTCTCATTAAGTCATTTTTTTCACTTAACAAATATTAATTGAGTGGCTACTATATTCCAAGAAGTATGTTAGGCATCACAGGCTCTCATTTTATCTATATGCCTGGTGACAGGATAGCTTTGCCTTGACTATATGGTGTTTTCAAATTTTCTTTCTTTTCTTTTTCTTTTTTTTTTTTTTTTTTGAGACGGAGTCTCACCCTGTTGCCCAGGCTGGAGTATAGTGTGCTATCTTGGCTCATTGCAGTATCTGCCTCCCGGATACAAGTCATTCTCCTGCCTCAGCCTCCCAAGTAGCTGAGATTACAGGTGTGTGCTACAATGCCCAGCTAATTTTTATAATTTTAGAAAAGACAAAATTTTGTCATGTTGGCCAGGCCAGTCTTGAACTACTGACCTCAAGTGATCCACCCACCTCGGCCTTCCAAAGTGCTGGGATTACAGGCATGAGCCACCATGACTGGCCTCAGATTTTCTATTGACTTCATTTCTATATAGCCAGACAGTAATGAATTGGTTCTGCTGAAAACTGTGGTCAGGATAAGTTAGAAACCCTTTTGTTTCCTTATGTATGTCTTTCTAAATTTCTGCTGAGCTACATCTTAATACCTTATTCCCAGACCTCAGCTCAGTGCCCCAGTGCCTGACACAAAATAGGCTCAAATAATAATTAGTTGAAATATAAATAATGATCATAATGCTAAATGACAAACAGCCCTTCTACTACTGGGTGACCTCGGGCAAGTCACTGCATCTGATGCTCTCTTCATTCATAAAATAATAGACAAGGCTGGTGGTTGCTAACCAGCTGGGTCAAGACTGGTGTTATTGTAAAGATGTGAAAATGCATATACATTCTATAATAAGTCCTACATAAAAACAGAATATACTATTTGTCATATATATATGTATGTGCGTATGCACACCACACATAAAACAAATAACAGTTTTACATGCATGTAGATTACTGTGTCTAAGAAAACCAGTATCATTTAAAAGCACTGTAGAGTTTATAACATCTTTTGGCTACTATGTATTTCGTTAATGAGCACATACAAAAATGTAAAATTACAACCATTTTGACATTCTAAAACACCTTCACACTCCAACAGGGCATCACTGGATTAAATGATCTTCAATGTCCTATCTAGCACAAATATCTGTGGTTCCAATTCAACAGAAAGCAGAAAATATTTCTCAAGTGTTAGCTATATACACAGCAAACAACCAAGTGGAAAGCAGAAAATACAGCCAATGAACTCTACAAGTAGAAAATGTGAGCATTTTCTCTTTTTTTTTGAGATGAAGTCTTGCTCTTGTTGCCCAGGCTGGAGTGCAGTGGCGCAATCTCGGCTCACTGCAACCTCCACCTCTCAGGTTCAGGTGATTCTCCTGCCCCAGTATCCCGAATAGTTGAGATTACAGGCATGTGCCACCACGCCCAGATAATGTTTTTGCATTTTTGTATTTTTTGTAGAGACGGGCTGGTCTCAAACTCCTGAGCTCAGGTGATCTACCCACCTTGACCTCCCAAAGTGCTGGGATTACAGGCATGAGCCACTGCACCCAGCCTCATTTTCTTTTTTACTAAAGCTGCTGCCATGACTGGCTTTATCATGCCACTCCCCCTCCCCTGTCCCCAAGGTACACTGGCATGGTCCTGCTCTCCAGAGTAAGTTCTACACATAAATGACCCTTTTCCCTTTGTCCAGTAAATGGCTGGGCCATGTCCTTTAAACCAGCAGTAGCTGTTAACTCTTGGTTAACCACACCCCATACCCACAATGTCAAGCAATAAATGTTTTTGGGAGATAACTAAAGAGGCTGCTGGAAACATTTGCTGCATGTTCAATAGTGACTGACAGTGGAGAGGAGGGAGTGGTGGGCATTTCTTTTATTTTTATATTTTGAGATGGAATCTTGCTCTGTCGCCCAGGCTGGAGTGTAGTGGTGGGATCTCAGCTCACTGCAACCTCCACCTCCAGGGTTCACATGATTCTCCTGCCTCAGCCTCCCGAGTAGCTGGGATTACGGGTGTGTGCCACCATGCCCGGCTAATTTTTTGTATTAGTAGAGACAGGGTTTCACCATGTTGGCTAGGCTGGTCTTGAACTCCTGACCTCAAGTGAACTGCCTGCCTCGGCTTCCCAAGATAGGCATTTCATAAGAATCATACAACCTGTCCTCCCTGTACCTGGGGCATACACAGACCAAGGGTACAATGCGTATGAGCTAAAGAGATCCTGGCTGCAACGTATTTGAGCAAAAAAATAATAATCATTTGTATTATACAATGAAGAGAGATGATGAAATGGTTGTGACTTATTTGAGAATATAAACTATAGTGATCAATAAAATCACATTTGGTGCGGTATTTAACCCATTTATAGAGATGTATATTTTCACTCTATGTTAATTTGCAGGGACATTTGAGAGGAAATGTCTGTATAATAAAAACATTAAAATAGAAATATTTCAATCTCAGTTTTGCCTAAGGCCCCAAGTCCTTGTTTATCAGGATTTGAAAACAAGATAACCAGAAAAAAAAACTTTATGACTCTGAGTCCCTCAGTCATCTTGAGGATATAAATCTGATATGTATATTAAGGGTTCAAAATGGTAGGATTAGAAATTAAAATAAGGCTTATTTGGATAAATTGTTCTATAAACCCCCTCCCATAGGGAGTGTGGGGGAGTTTGCCTCTCACCTCAATCCAAGAGAAAGGTTTTAGACATCTTGATATGTAGCCCCTGGGGTTTGGAAACTGTATTAGTCAGTGTTCTCCAAAGAGACTGAATCAATAGAATACAGATATAGATGTAGATACAGATAGATGTGAGGGAATTTATTAGGGGAATGGAGTCACACAATTATGGAGGCTGAGACATCCCACATAGGCCTTCTGCAAACTGGAGAACCAGAGAAGCCAGGAGAGTGGCTCAGTCCAAGTCCGAAGGCCTGAGAATCAAGGAAGTTAATGGTGTAGCTCTGTCTGAGGCCAAAGGCACAAGAACCCAGAGGGCCACTGTTGCAAGCCCTGGAGTCCAAAGGCGGGAAAACCTGGAATCCGGATGTCCAAGGCCAGGAGAAGAAGGGCATCCCAGCTCCAAAAGAGAAGGTGAGCAAGAGTCTGCCCCCTCCTTCCACCATTCTTTTTCTATCTGGGCCCCTAGCTGTTTGCACGGTGTCTGTCAACATCAGGGTGGATCTTCCCCACTCAGTCCACTGGCGCACATGCTAGTCTCCTGCATACACACCCTAACAGTCGTGCCCAGAAACAATGTTTCACCAGCCATCTAGGCATCCCTCAATCTAGTCAAGTTGACACCTAAAATTAGCTATCACGCAGACTGATGTCTGATTTGTGCTATAACATCTATGGAAAGAGAGACGGTAGCGGATACGCAGTTCTGATTGTGGCCTGAAGAGAGGGCAACAACCTGTCCCCACAGAGAGTCAGAGCAAAGAAAGCCCAAGTTCCTTAGACTCTGCTCAGGAAGCCTGTCCAGCCATGCAAGAAGACTCCAGCAGAAGGAAAATGAAGGGGTGCCACCTGCATGCAGCGGGTGAAGGGCTGAAGAAGGGATCCTAAACAACCAGGAGAGGAGAAACACTCAACTCTGTCAAAGACACTGCAGATAGGAGATGTCAAGTGAACTGACAGGATGGATTAGGAACTCTTTTTTTTTTTTTTTTTTTTTTACTTTAAGTTCTGGGTTACATGTGCAGAACGTGCAGTTTTGTTACATAGGTATACACATGCCATGGGTTTGCTGCACCCATCAACCCATCACCTGCAACACCAGGCTGCCACAACACTTGGGTTACACCTAATGAGGTGACTCCATTTCCATTGTATTGCTATTCTGGTTAGTGAGAAGACACACTATAGGATAAAGTTTGCATTAGAAGAGCCAGGAAAATATGAAGTAGAATTCCTCTTTAATTAATGTTAAAGAACTTAATCACAGAGGGAGAAATAAATGTTCACATTGGCACCCATCGATATCATGAATGGAATACAAGCTCCATGGTACCATGTGCTTCCTCTCTTGTAGGATATGGACTGAGCCACCTTGGCAAACTATGCCCATGGTATATTCACTTCATCAACAAAGCTAGTCCAGAACATTCTATGCATTTGCTTCTTATAACCTGATTCTTGGCCACTTAAGCAGCATTCTCAATGCTTCCAATGAGTGAAAATGAAAAAAAGAGGACAAAATAAGCCAATAATTCCAGCTCATTAGCAGCCAAAAAAAAAAAAAAAGATCTTTGGGCAAGCCAAAGTTCTAAGGGGAAAGGGGGAATAACGACCTAAAGACCAGTGCCACGTATGTTTGATACTCTTAACTGTAACTCTGGAACAACAACAACAAAAACCCCATCCAGGTTTAAAAATATGTGTAAAACACCATATTATAATATAATCTCATGTTTATTATTTTAAAGTAGGAAAATGCAGATAGTGTGTCTTTTGCATCACTGTTGAAAATACGATCATTCATTGAAGACAGAGCAGTGGTATCCTAGTTAAAACTCTTTCAAGTTATTCAACAATAATTGGGAGCTTCATCAATAGCAATTGCTATTTTCCATCACTGAATGCAACTCATTCCTGAAGCCCATTGAACACTCCAGAATATTGTGCAGGCGTAGGTCTTGCTGACTCAGTTGTAGCCAGCAATATTTAGTCATGCTCCTCGTCAGGTACTTCTGGCTCTCTATGATGTGGAGAAATGGTAGGAGGATGTCATTTGGACCCCTGTGTTCAATGGAGCAATGTGGTTGGTTCTGGCCAATGAGCTGTGAGTGGAAGAGACCTGCCGCTTCTGCCGAGCATTTCGTATATGTGTGGGTGTGAGTATACTCTCCTTCTCCTCCCATGGTGGCCAGCAACGTTCCAGGGGCTGAGCCCCCTGAGAAGCAATGCCCCCATTTGCCAGAGTCAGCCATGTAGTATGAGTGAGGAAGAAAACTTTGTCTTAAGCCCATGAGATTCAGGGGTTATTTGTTACTACCTGTTAACCTCCCCTGACTGATACAAAGGTCTTATTGTCTACCTCCTTACTGATATTGACTGATCAGGTCACTTACTGAATATGCCTGGACTGCAACTCAGTGCCCATTTTTATTTTAAAGATCGATGAGTTGTTTTATGATTGGAACTTGGGGTAATACAAATAATACATTTCCCATACGAGCATCACTAAGAGTAAACATTGACTGACAATGAATAGTCATTGTTGATTTGCACATAAACCCACAGGTAGATTTTGTTCATTTTGTAAGATAGAAATTAGATGCATTTGTCAGGCTGATGACTGAGGGTGGGAGCATCATGGAGAGTCACATTAGAAGTGGTGACACCTGCCATGAGGGCACAGCATTTGTGCAGGTACTGTGAGACCAAATGCACTGCCTTCAAGCTGGATGCAATGTAATCAATCCACTTTAACATGAGTAATCATTGCTGAGCATTTAACATGAGAATCATATTATAACACATATTATGAGGCGCTGAACAATTTGGTGAAGAAGAGAGTTATACAAGTTATATCGATGAGTTCAGATGATTTGAAAAAAAAAAAGTGGTTAGATTTACAAAAGGCAAGGAAGGAAAATGTGTAAAGGGAAATACTCTGTGCTGCTCCTCCAGAAAGACATTCCCCAACAGAGGGGGGCTTGCCCCAGTGCGGTACCACCTGTGTTGGGGCAGGTAAGCCCACCTCTTTGGGTGTTCAGCATTGGATAACACATTTACCTGCAGATCTAAACCACATCCCGCAGTGTAGACTTTTTCAGTAATAATGGTGGAAACCTGATCTCCTTGGCCTTACTACTTTGTTCTATGTTTCAATTTGTCCAGAATAGGGACAGAGAAGCAAGTGCTGTTGATTGGTCTCTTCAAATACAGCAAGGGAAAGTCCTAATGGAGAAGCCAGTCTTAGGCTGAGATGGGAAGGAAGGAAGAAATGGGGTTTGAACGTGAGGAGGATGGGAAGTATTCCAGGATACAGTACTATGGCACAAAATCAAGGACTAAATGCTTATCTGTCTATTTTTTGAGTTCTGTAAAGTGCTTTCACATACATGATAAAAATGTGTAATGGCACTGATGGTCAGTGTAAATCCTGTGCTCTCTTCTGTATCCAAACACTGGCAGCCCTGGACTCCTAGTGAAGGAGACAGACATGTGTCCTGTTTTTGTGGCGAGATTCTAGTGGTGAAGTTAGACAGGAAGCAAGTAGTACGTATATAAAGTATTTTCAGATACTGATTAGTGCCATGAATGAAAATAAGGGAGGGTAAGGAGACAGGATAGTGGAGGCTCGCTCTTCTGGGCAGTTGGTTAGGTCTGGTCTGTGAAGATGGGTCTTTGATCAGAGTCCTAACTGCAAGGAGACAAAGAGCCCCAAGGAGAAACAGGAAGGGAAGAATCTCAGGCAGCAAGAAAGGCAATAGTACAGACCCTGAGGGGAAACGTGTTTGGCTGTGGAGGAGGCCAGTGTGGCCCTAGGGGATCAGGAGGGGTGAGTCCAGGGGAAGAAAGCCATAACATGCAAGTAGCAGCTGGAGGAGGACCCCAATGTCCAAGGTCAGGGGCCCTGAAATGAAAGAAAAGGCCAGTGAAAGCCAGGACTGTGCCCAGAGAAGGCGAAGTGATTAGAACACTCTTGAAAATGAATCTGCTACTGGGTTAGGGTGTCTCCCCGAATGTCGGGAAAACTGGCCAGAGGTCATTAAAATATTGCAGGTGCGAGATAATTAGAACCTAGCCTTGGGCAGTTATTACAGGTGCTAAAATCTGAAAACTCAAACTGAGGAAAATTGGCAGAGCTGGGAGACTTATTGGATGACAAGGGCAAAGAGGAGAGAGAAATGGCAGACAATTCAGGGTCACTGGCTGACTTTCACTGTCAGTGATGGCAGACGTGGGAGGGGAGGCCATCTAACAAATGCTCACGTCTAGGGCTTATGTAGTCAACGGTGAGAGCAACCTGCAAAAAAATAAAAAATAAAAATACTGTTCCAAGAGCCATTTTTTAAAAAAAGAATGTCACGCAGACTGAAAAAGAAAATCAAAATAAAATCAAGAAAAGGGATTGTATTACAAACTCACTATTCTCAAGATAAACTGAAAAAGGCAAATTTCATACTTAGTAATGAGAACAAAATAAACACTTTCAATTGATTAATATTGCAATACAATCATTTTGATTATGTGTCTTTATTTTATTTGTTATTTTTTCAGTCAGGGTCTCACTGTCTTGCCTATGCTGGAGTGCAGTGGCAACCTCTGCCTCCCAGTCCAAGCAATTCTCCCACCTCAGCTTCCCAAGTAGCTGGGATTACAGGTGCATACCCCGAGGCCCAGCTAATTTTTGTATTTTTTGGTAGATATGGGTTTCACCATGTTGGCCAGGCTGGTGAACTCCTGACCTCAAGTGATCTCCCCTCCTCTGCCTCCCAAAGTGTTGGGATTACAGGCGTGAGCCACCTCACCTGGCCAGATTATGTGTCTTTAAAAAATAAAAATGAAGACATGCATAAATTAGTATAGTAGAAGGAAAAAAGAGATACGACACCTTTTATCTTTTTTAGGGATCAATGAAAGGCCAAGAGATTTGAGAACTGTAAGAAAGCCCTGAGAAGCACATTGTTCAAAATTTATGCTCACTTGAAAAAAAGAAAAAAAAAAAAAAAAAGGAAATGACCTAGGCTGTTACAAAAGTTAAACCCAAATTGAGCACCTTTTAAATAAGGTTGTCAAAGGTTAAGTATGTTTGAGGTAAAATTATTTCCCCAGTCTCAAAATGAAATTTCCAGTAGACTTTAGAAAAAAAAAATATGGAAAACAAACATACATGGAGAAACTGCATTTTACAACTGAACACTGGGTTTCAAGTAGAGTGATTTTTAAAAATCTCATATTTAGATACTGTCTGGTTTTAAAAATAGGCCAAATGGATCATAGGCTGAGAATCAGAAATCCTTCTTTTGGGTTGTCTCTTCTCCGTAAGCCTCAAGTACTTCTTAGTCCTTTCTTCATGACTAGATAAAATTATAGTAACTACCACAGGGATTATGATTCCTAGTCAAACATCAATCATAGTCCTACACACAAATGATGTCAAGTGCTAGGCACTGTCTAGGTTCTATAATATTAGAGTTCCTAAATTTACACACGCACGCACACACACACACACACACACACCTGAGATAGAGGATAGAAAGATAAATGATGATAGATAGATAGATAGATAGATAGATAGATAGATAGATACATATACATAGACAGACAGACAGAAAGATAGATGCTAGGCTGGGAGTGGTGGCTCACACTTGTAATTTCAGTCCTTTAGGAGCCTGAAGCTGGAGGATTGCTTGAGCCCAGGAGTTCAGGAGTTCAAGACCACCTGGGCAACAAAGCAAGGCTCTGTCTCTATGAAACACAAACAAACAAAAAATTAGCTGGACATGGTAACGCACACTTGTGCTCCCAGATACTAGGAAGGCTGAGGCAAGAGGATCACAGGAGCCCAGGAGGTCAAGGCTGCAGTGAGCCATGATTGTGCCACTGCACTCCAGCCTGGGCAACAGAGAGAGACTCTGTCTCAAAAAAAAGAAAAAAAAGAAAGATAGATGCTAGATAGATGATAGATGGAAAGGGGAAGGAAAGGGAAAGGGGAGAGGAGGGGAGGGGAGACGAGGGGAGGGGAGGGGAGGGGAAATCCCTTCACCGAAGACTTGTAGGTCAGGTCTCAAAGAGCAGCCAGCAGACAGCCTTCAGCTGTCAACTACATCAGGGATTGACCCAGCTGCAGAGAACTGCCTCACACAAGGTCACACCCCTTCCTGGGTGACTCACAATCAACTGACACAATCAATAAAACCTGTCTGTCTTGAGCCAAGTTGGCACAACTCTGAAGATCCATTCTGATTGTGGAGTTCCCTGTGAGGTCTGTGTGGCTGGGCCTGCATTGTAGCTCAATTTCTCCCCCTCCTCACTACTGTCTCCTCTCTTCCCTTCCAGATGTCATTACCAAGGATCCTTTTTAATTAGCATCCTATATTCCAAACTCTAACCACAGTCTGCTTCCTGTACTTGCATATATTCATTACATACATATGTGTGAGTGTACATATATGTTTTAAAAATCCCTAGCAAGAGTAAGTACGTTATTTGGTCAGTCAGCTGTTAAAACTTCCACTTTCTCCAGTTGTCTGGTGGAATTAAAAAAAAAAAAAGACTTTCACTTTTATTAGTGCAATTCATATCAGTGTGCCACTGGTAGCTCTTGGAAGAGAAGGAAGAGAGAGCTAATATGGAACCTGGAGACAAGTTCCACTCTGCTCCTGCTGAATGCCCTTCTCCTTTGCTTCTACCTACCTCCAGAAGTGCTGGCCATTGTCAGCTCCTGAAAAGGCTGATGCTCTGACCTGTTTCAGTGAACGGGGAGAGGACTTGAGGCTGGGAAACCTTTGGAATAGGCAAGGGGTCCCCCTACATAGGCTTCCCTCCATGACTCATAGTGTGTTCCTTGGTTCGCTCCCTGTGGTCAACCACCTGCTGCAAAAAGTCGTTCACTGCTGGTGTGAGAATCATTGTCACCTACACTCAAGTAAAAATGTGTATCAAAGGAACAGATGCTTCTCTTCCATGCAACCTGAATATAGATCTATCAGGCAAATTCAGACAGCTGTTCTAGATGCAGAGACCATCATATCTGCTAGGGGTCAGCAAACACTGACCATGGCTCAAATCTGGCCTGCCATCAGATTTTGTTGGGCCCGGGAGTGAAGAATGTTTTCAGGCTTTTCAGTGGTTGAAAAAAATAAAATAAAAAGCATAATATTTCATAATATGTGAAAATTATATAAAATCTAATTTGTAGTGTCCATAAATAAACTTTTTTCTTTTCTTTTCTTTTCTTTTTTTTTTTTTTTGATACTGAGTCTCGCTCTGTTGCCCAGGCTGGAGTGCAGTGGTGCGATCTGGGCTCACTGCAAGCTCCACCTCCCGGTCACGCCATTCTCCTGCCTCAGCCTCCCGAGTAGGTGTGACTACAGGCGCCCGCCACCACGCCTGGCTAATTTTTTTTTTTAATTTTTAGTAGAGACAGGGTTTCACCGTGTTAGCCAGGATGGTCTCATCTCCTGACCTTATGATCCGCCCGCCTCAGTCTCCCAAAGTGCTGGAATTACAGGTGTGAGCCACCACGCCTGTCCCCATAAATAAACTTTTATTAGGACACAGCCATGCTAATTCATTTACATATTGTCTATAGCTGCTTTTGATCCACAATAGCATAGTTGGGAAGTTGTGACAGATACCTGAAAGCCAAATATGTTTACTATCTGGCCCTTTGCAGAAAAACTTTGCCAACCACAGAGCTATGCGATTTAGGATTATACAACACAATATCACACATTTGCTTATTGGTGAACATCCAATGGGTGGATATTCACACAGATATAGACTTGTTACCTGTACATGTCTGTAAGTATCTGGCCTCTCATAAAACACTAAACACCTTCCACAGAAGTGCACAATGATGTAGAGACCCCACGTTATGCTCAAACCCAAGCGCTATCTTTCTTCACATCTTTTTAGTTCAAAATATCTGCCTTAAAACAGAACTGGAAAAACAACATTTGTCAAGTAAGTGCAGCCGTGTTAATGTTAAATAGATGAATGCATGGATGGATCTTTTAACATACAAGCAATGGAGAAGATATGCCAGCAATGATAATACTTGTGTTAGTGTGAAGGGTATTTTAGATCTGCCCCAAACTCAGGTAGAAAAAGTTTCCCTGACCTTTTCCCTACCAGTTTAGAATTTTAATTCATCCCAGAGAGTCAGTGGCTTTGACACAATAGCACTTACTCTTCAGATGCCTAAAATTTTATGGTCAAAAATATCAAAAGATTAGAAATGTGATTTTCAATCCCAAAAGCCACATTGAAGTTCAATTAAACAAAAATGCCTGGGGTTTTCATATGCACTGAAAATCATAAAAATCAATTTTATTACAAATCTACCCATGAAACCGTCTATCTGTCTCTCCATCCATCAATTTATTTCTGCAATATGTCTCAAAATAGCACCCAAGAGTTTGTGCCAATTCTTATTTTTCAAGATATATGAGCTTTTTCAAGTTCACAAGCTCCATAAACTTCACAAACTCCATATGGTGTTCACAAAGGAATAATAAATGTTTTTTATCTTTTACATTGTTTATGAACACATAATTCATTTTTACTATATCAATTGCTTGCCTAAGAAGTTACAATGCTTCCTTTTCTGCTTATTCTGGCTTACAAGCCTTTCAGAATTGAATCTTACCTGATCTGTTCAATATTACATTCTACATTACACACCCAATTTCACTGTATCTCACCCACCTGTCTTCCTACACACTAAAGCCCTTACTCCTCCTAATCGCCATGTTTTCATTATCTCCATGTCCCTTTTATGTGTTGTTCTTTCTACAAAGAAACCCCTTTTCTCCTCTTTTTGAAAAACACCTACTTATCCTTCTAGAACAACCTAAATGTAGGAACTTTCCAAATTCTCCAGGGAAATATAGCCCTTCCTTCCTTCCATCCATCCATCCACCCACCCACTCACCTACTCACTAATTTATCCCTTACTGAACAAACATACTGAGCATCTATTAGATGCTCAAAAATGTATAACAAATAAGCTATTTCTGCTTGGTTTATAAGGACACTGAGATATCAGCAAAGTGTTATGGGACCGAAGAAGAAGAAAATAGAAGAAAGACATCAAAGTCAAACTGGAAGTAGGACAGTTTGGAAAGCATTTCCCAGAAGAGGTGATACTGAGTTAAGTATACACAGGACAAGAATTATGCAGCCAGGTGGATGAGGGATGGGAAGAGGAGAAAGGGAGAGGGTGTTCTAAGCCAAAAACACAGCAGGTAAGAAACTGAGTCACCACTAGGAAAGTTAAATCAATATGGCAGAAAGAAAACCTGCTCCTTGGGTCATTTCATCATGCGTTTGGTAGAGCACTTACAACTTTATATTAAGTAATATGGGCTTGAGGTTCTGCTTTAGATAATATGGACTTGAGGTTCTTCTACCTTTTATTACCTGTCAGAAATAGGGTTTTAATCCCTGGGAGGTGAAGCTTGCAGTGAGCCAAGATAGCACCACGGCACTATAGCCTGGGTGACAGAGCGAGACTCCATCTCAAAAAAAAAAAAAAAAAAAAGAAAAAGAAAAAGAAAAAGAAATAGGGTTTTCATCTGGAAATATTTGGGGCTAAGTGTTGTCCTGAAAGGAACTTTGGAAAAGAAATATTCCATTACACTTGCTTTGTCATCTTGTGATACAGACTCAGCCCATGGATCAACAAAATGCCTTCATTCTCAACAGTCCAAAGAGCTCTGGGTAGGATCTCACCTTCCTTACAAAATTCATGTCAGATGTTGAATAATAGACATTATTCTGTTCCTCTTCCAAGTGAGAGACAATGAGTGGCTCATCCCCTGAACGGTGTGTGGAATAAGGTGAAACATGTAGCAATCAAGAAACTGGACTCATCCCCTGAACGGTGTGTGGAATAAGGTGAAACACGTAGCAATCAAGAACTGGACTCATCCCCTGAACGGTGTGTGGAATAAGGTGAAACACGTAGCAGTCTAGAACTGGCTGCAGAATATATGTTTGGATTTTGTAACTTTCATGCTCCCAAAACTCAGAGTCATTTTTCTACATTGGCTCTTTCCCTGTATTATCAATTGTACCCTTCACATAACAACTGTTTCCTAATGGCAACCAATCAATTCAGAATTCAAATGGCGATTCGCCAGTTTGATATCTACGTTGCCCTGGGGTTATGGAAGAAGCTGCAAATTTTGGGGTACTGTTCCAGCTTATTAAATCTTTTTATTGAAATTTGATTCATCTTTTCCTGACCTTATCAAACCATCCCGGCCTTGTCATCTACAGCAGGACTTTGCAAAGTGGACTCCTGTCGCTTGCTGCATTTTACTGGTGTGAAATCAGAAGGAGTATGGTGGATAATGCATTTTGAATCCGGTTAGACATTAATTATTAGGTTGGGGCAAAAGTGATAGTTTTTTTTGCCATTAAAAAACCATGATCACTTTTGCCCCAACCTAATAACACCCAAACCACCTGTAGAAATGATTTAAGAAATCTTCAACTCAAATGCCTTCTTTCAGGAGGAGTTTTAAAATAGAAATTACATCATTCCAAGGTTGTGTCTGCATATGCAGTTGTATCAAAAAACTTAAATGTAATTTTTGAGGGAACTAAGCCAGGAGAAAGGGCCATAGTGATGAATGTATCCAAAAGTAGCCATCAGAGAATCCGTGAGTTCTTACACTGACACAGGAAGACCACTGTGTTTGACAGATGCAAAATTTCCATTCAGATCTGGTCAGCACTCTTCACCTAACTGGTGTTTTTAAGAGATAATTAAAACTGTTTGCACAATGGCACAGTCCATGACACATTAATAATAATAACTAATAACACATTAATAATAATAACTAATAATAACTAATGGCACAGTCCATGACACATTAATAATAACTAATATATAATAATTATATTATTATAACTAATAACTAATAATAACTAATATAACGAATTATATTAATGATAGTAACTAATAATGTGACCATGACACATTAATAATAACTAATATTAATAATAATAACTAATATTCAATTTAATTCTCATTTCTATAAGTGCCAGGAAATTTGCTAACATTGTATGTATACATGTAATACATGTACATTACATCTCATGTAATCATAACTGTTTTATTGCTTTTTTTTTTTTTTTTGAGACAGAGTCTCACTCTGTTGCTCAGGCTGGAGTGCAATGGCACCACCTCGGCTCACTGCAACCTCCACCTCCCAGGTTCAAGCGATTCTCCTGCCTCAGCCACCCGAGTAGCTGGGATTACAGGCGCCTGCTACCACGCCTGGCTAATTTTTGTATTTTTAGTAGAGATGAGTTTCATCACCTTGGTCAGGCTGGTCTCGAACTCCTGACCTCAGGTGATCCACCTGCCTCGGCCTCCCAAAGTGCTGGGATTACAGGCTTGAGCCACCGTGCCCGGCCAACTGTTCTATTGTTAAAGCAGGTAGCTAGGCAGACGTGAGCAGGTCAGGAGAGGACCCCCAACCCCTCCCCAGGAATGTCAGCTGACCACTAGGTAATGGTCAGGAGGTTGTTAAACTATTTCTCTAAAATAATAATTGATTGCAGCTGGTACCAAAGAAAGACCGTCTCCCAATAGATATAAAACACCTGAAACTGGTGATCAGCTTCCAAATAAGATCTCAGAAGTTGGGCGAGCACGCTAAGCATGTGCACTAAGAGGCAAAATGGCGGCGTTTAACTGGTATATGAGCTTCCTCCAGGAACGCTCTGCTGGTAAGGGAAAAACGCCTCAAGTGAGCATGCACACAACTTCAGTAAACACACTGCGCACGCAGCCCCTTCCAAGTGCTGACAGGCCACTGTACATGCGGACAGCCCGCTCCGAAGGAAGAATCAGGGGAGAAGAAATGCAAGCCCAAAAACCCTGCCAAGGTATAAAACCCCAGTCAAGGACCGGATGGGGCACTGGATCTCTCAAGTCACCCACTTGGTCCTCTGGCAAGTGTATTTTGCTTCCTTTTGTTCCTGCCCTAAAGCTTTTTAAACAACTCTGACTCCTGCTCTAAAACTTGCCTGTATCTCTCCCGCTGCCTTAAACCCACTTCTACCCCTTGGCCAAATTCTTTCCTTTGAAGAGGCAAGGATCGAGTTTCTGCAGACCCATACAGGTTCTCCACTGGTCACACCATCAAGTAAGCATTATCATTATTATTCCCATTTTACAGAAGGGAAAACTGAGTCTTAAAGTTATAAGCTTTCTTCCCCGAGTTCACACAGCTAATAAATACAAGAGGAGAATTTGAAGTAAGGCAGTCTGACTCTGGTTCTAAACCAAGTTTATAGTCTATTGATAGCTGTTGCCATTGTTAAAGCCCATGTCATATTTAGAATATAGTTCCAGAGTTGGCACATTGGAAATGACAATATTACTTTAAAAAATGTGTTGAAGATGGGAGTTAAATTGTTTTGGAATTTGCCACTACATAAACTATATAATAGGGGCAGATATGAGCAGTGTCAGATTAAGCAGAGACAGGCTCCGTGGCCAGGAAGGCATAACCATTTGCGGCTTAACACAGCCAAAAGGTCAGAAAGGGGGTTCATTCGAGGGAGCCAGGAAACGGGGCCTGAAGCAAGACTTGGCAGTGACCTCCTAACTTTATCAGTGAAAAGAAGGTGATTTCACTCAGCCTGCTCAGTCCTAGGGCTCAGTAGCTTTTTGTGGAGATGACTGCATAGCACCCCTCTTTTCAAATACAGGGTGGAGGAAATCAAAATATCTCAAAACATCCTTCTCGGACATATTTTGAGATGGATGTTCAGAGGGCCAGCAGATAGAAGTAGCCATGCAAAGCTGTCTTTTGTCGGGGAGATACACATCTGCAGAGAAAATCTGCATTGATGTAGCCAGGCTTTCTCCAAGGGCCTCCCCTGTCCTCTTCCAGATCTAGGAAAGATTAACCGACTGTCGACACCTTTGAAGGTCTGAAAGAAACATTTACCATCTATTCTCTCTGAGGGCGGCTACCTGTGAGATTTCATCTACATAACAAGTGATCTTTGCTAGCCAGGGCTCCTCTTCTCTCCCTCCCATAATCACAACCTGTTTTGCCACAATCCAAGCCCCCATTCTTTCTGCAACCTCAAGATGGTACATAAGCTTCTGAACCCCACTGGGGAGTTGGGATAATCACTCTGCAGTTTTCCCCCATGCACATGTTATCTATGAACAGAAGGACAAGTTAGTTACCCTCTCCTCACAACCCACACCTCACCAACAAGCAAGCCATCAATTTTGCAGCAGACTGAAGCTGGAAGTCCTCTAATTCAGTTCCACTCTGACACTCTCTTCCTGGAGATAGCGTCAGATCCCACAGGTTGAGGGCTCAGTCCCCAAGAATGCCCCTTGCTTCTGACGCGAATTACAAGTCCCAGTTTATTTCACCTGTGCTTCTGACAGACCAGCTGGAAATTAGAGATCCCATGATCCCCTGCTTGAGTTCAATTAATTTGCTAGAGTGGCTTTCTGAACCTAGGGAACACTTATGCTTACTGGTTTATTATAAAGGATATTACAAAGGATACAGGTGAAGAGATGCATAGGGTGAGGTATGGAGGAAGGGTTGTGGAGCTTCCATGACCTTCCTGAATGGCTCCACCCTCCAGGAACTGCCACATGTTCAGCTATCCAGAAGCTCTCAGAACCCTATCCTCTTTTTTTTTTTTTTAAGCTTCATTATGTAAGCATGATTGACTAAACCTTTGGCCATTGGTGGTCAACTTAACCTTCAGCCCCTTTCCCCTCCTTGGAAGTTGAGGGGTAGGGCTGAAAGTCCCAGCCCTCCAATCATGCATTGGTCTTTTCAGCGTCCGGTCCCCATCCTGAAGCCACCTAGGGACTGCCAGCCATCAGCCAACTCATTAGCATACAAAAAGACATCACTTCGGAGATTCTAAGGATTTTAGGAGTTGTATGTTAGGAAATGGGATCAAAGACCAAATATATATTCTACAATATCACAGGAGTCCTTGACCAAACTAGATAGGCCAGGTCTGGCAGACTGTTGCTAGCTTTACCTCATCTTTCAATTTTTCTAGAGAAGTCAGATATCTGAACATTAATGTGAAATTTTCCATGTTTAAAAAATACTGCGCAGGCCAACAAAACACATCCCCTACTCAGATTCTGCGCATGGGCCACCGATTTGCAAGTGGCATGTGCTCATATGTACTTCAGATCAATACATTCTAATACCGAGGCAACTTTTTTCTCAGTAATCTAAATTTAGGGAACTATTCTCAGAATTGCCCATAGGTCTTATATAATCTGAACATCACAAGAGAACTCAAATGACTATAACCATAATCGTAGAACTGAACTGTGTCATTCACATGCTGTCATATCCATCACATTTCCAACTCATTCCAAGCAAATCCTCAGCTGATCCTGTGTAAGGGCTCACTCCTTCCCTATGTGCGTTCTCATCATTTGATGAACTTAACTTTGGCAAGGAGCTAGAAGACTTAGCTCTTGACACCACAGCATGAGATGGGAACTAAATTGGTATATGACTTGATTCTTGGGCACAGCAGTTTATGTTTTTAACCAACACTCATTCCAGAAGTAGACTACATAAGATAAGTAGCATACACACATATGCATTTCTTAAACTACCGATTTAATAATTCATTCCCCAAATACTTAATGATTGCATACCATGTTACAGAATCTATGCTAGGGGTCGAGCACACAATATTTAGACACATGCACACGTATGTTTATTGCAGCACTATTCACAATAGCAAAGACTTGGAACCAACCCAAATGTCCAACAATGATAGACTGGATTAAGAAAATGTGGCACATATACACATGGAATACTATGCAGCCATAAAAAATGATGAGTTCATGTCCTTTGTAGGGACATGGATGAAATTGGAAATCATCATTCTCAGTAAACTATCGCAAGAACAAAAAACCAAACACCGCATATTCTCACTCATAGGTGGGAATTGAACAATGAGAACACATGGACACAGGAAGGGGAACATCACACTCTGGCGATTGTTGTGGGGTAGGGGGAGGGGGGAGGGATAGCATTGGGAGATATACCTAATGCTAGATGACGAGTTAGTGGGTGCAGCACATCAGCATGGCACATGTATACATATGTAACTAACCTGAACATTGTGCACATGTACCCTAAAACTTAAAGTATAATAATAATAAAAAAAAAAAAAAACCAGCCCTGAAAAAAAAAAAGAAAGAAAAAGACAACCTGGTACCAAACCTCAAATGCTTTTACCCAACAGCAGTAGTTCTCAAAATTTGGCCCCCAGATCAGAAGCATCTGCATCGGCCACTGAGAAATTGTTAGCAACACAAATTCGTAGGCCCCGCCTCAGAACCTCAGATCTACTGAATCTGAGAGTCTGGGAACCAGGCTCAGCAATCTGCGTTGTAATAAGCCCTCCAGGTGATTCCGATGCAAGCTCATGTCTGAGAAGCTCATGTCTGGAGAACATCTGGGGGTGGGGAACAGGGGTAGAATTCAAATAAAAAACACAGGAGACTGATTTACACATAGTGGCCAGAAAAGCATCTCTTAATAGATGACAGTTGAACCTGAAAAATGAAATGGAGTCAGTCCTTGAAGGATAGGAAGAAGAAAACAGGATGAGTGGGGAAAACATTTTAGGGAGAAGCGGCACACAGCAGTGACCTTGTGCAGACAAAGAAGTCAGCGTATGCAAAGAACTGATCAAAAGACCCTCTGGCTGGAGCCCAGCAAATGAGAAGAGAATGTAATAAGATAAGATTGAATCAATGACTCCGGAGTAGATCTGAGGTGCAGAGATGGCAGGAAGCGAAAGGATGACCCTGACGGACAAGAGCTGGGGCTGAGAATGGGGAAAAGTTTATGATTTCAGAAGGGAGGGAGTCACTCTGTAGCTGACCAAGGCTGAGATAGGCAGGGCCAGAGATTTTGGGTGTAAAAACTTCCTAGAAAGTGCCTTTAGCGATAATTATTTGCAGACAGAATTATCGTGAATAAGTAATCAGAAGACTTCTGAGTTTTTGAAAGACTGTACTATCCAATAAACCACATTTCCAAGCTTCAAGCCCCTGCCAGTCTTCAGATTGCAAGAGAACCCTGGGCCCCAAAGCTTATGCTGACTATGCAGTGCCAAAAGCAGCATATTCTGCAATGTCCTTTTTTGGGTAAGGTCATGAATAATGTGCTAAGAACAATCTCTTGAAGGGATGAGACAGAGGGCACAAAGAGAGTGAACAATGGAATTCCTTCCAGAAGGCAGAATCAGGCCCCATGGAGTAAACCCCATATTCTCTACTGCCAGCGATGGGAATCTGTTATTCTTGACCAGTAAAATGTGTTAATTGCTATGAAATACTTTCTGGCCTGTGTTTCCCATCCTCTTCCTCTCCAAATGAGAGTTTTTATTACAGTTTCCTGTGCCACTGCTCCATTGAATATGGGGTAATACAGGGCATGGATAACCTGTCTTTTAGTTTGTCAGTCACCAAAATAAGAAAAGCAATACACAGACCCGGGGGAGAGGACGTGAATGACACAGGCATTCTGGACTTCAGTTCAGATGCAGTAACTGGTTAGATCTTCGGGCTTGCCTCCTTTTGGGAGCAGGTGAGTGTGTTATGTGTGGGGTGAAGAATACATACAAATACGTGTTTGGCCGGGGGCAGACTGAAGCAGATTGTTGGATTTCCTCCAGTATTCGTTCTTCTCATCTTTCAATGTAAATAAAGTCACCAACTTCTGACTGAGCATACGCCACCTGGGATAAATGCCAAATTTCCCAGCCTGCCTTGAGATCCGGTGGGGTCATGTGACTAAGATCTGGCCAATGTGGTAAAAACGAATGTGTCATGTGGCATCAACCAGGAGATTTCCACAGGGACAGCTGTACTCTTTGGTCCTCCTCTTTTTTTTTTTTTCTTGAGACGAGTCTCGCCCTGTCACCCAGGCTGGAGGGCAATGGCGCAATCTCGGCTCACTGCAACCTCCACCTCCTTGGTTCAAGCGATTCTCATGCCTCAGCCTCATGAGTAGCTGGGATTACAGGTGCACACCACCACGCCCGGCTAATTTTTTGCATTTTTAGTAGAGACGGGGTTTCATCATGTTGGCCAGGCTTGTCTCAATCTCCTGACCTCATGATCCTCCCGCCTCAGCCTCCCAAAGTACTGGGATTACAGGGATGAACCACCACGCCCGGCCTGATCCTTCTTTTATATTTCCCCTTCCTCTTTCCTGCTGTCAGTTACCCAAATATTACCTCGGACAAAGAGCCAGGTCTGTACTCCTGGGGTGGTGTGGTCATGGAAGCTGGAAGGGGCAACTGAAAACATCTTGGAGCAAAGCCTTCAGACTGCATGTCTTCAAGACTCTTGTGAAAAAAATGAAAACTGTTTATTTGGAATTTCTGTTATTTGCAAATGAACTTATCTTAACCAATATGGACTCTTGGCCACTAAAAGTAGCTTAAATTTTACTCCAAATGCACTAGCAACCCATGAGAGGGTTTCAAGCATTGAGCACAATAGGCTCTGCTGTGTTACAATACTTTTAACTCTGCAAGGAATGATGAGAAAGAGGATGGGGGTATAGGCCATGTGGAAAATGGCACCAGCAAATATGGTGGATTCAGGAGGGATAAAGGGGGGACATTTTTGATAGGTTTTAGAGGTAACATAGTATTTTTTGATAAATTTGATGAGATTGAAGAGAAAAATAAAATATTATCTATATCTCATGGATAATACAAGTGATACTTATTTTTATCAAGTTAGTTGACAAATAGAAATTTCTCTGGGAAATTGGAAATATATGCATGGCAGATACTCACTAGGGTGGCTCCCATGATTCCCGCCCCAGCATCAGTATCTTTGTGCAATCTCCTCCCCTCGAGTGTGTGCTGGACCTGTGGCCTGCTTTCAACAAGAGAATATGGCAAACTTGATGGGGTTATCACTCCCCTGACTACGTTATGTTATATCACAAAGGTTGGGGGATTTTGCAGATTTTGTTCGAGCCCCTATAGAGTTAATAAAAAGGAATATATATACTGCATGGGTCTGACCTAATCAGGCCCTTTAAAAAGCATCTTTCTCTCTCTCTCTGTCTCTCTCTCTCTCTCCCCCCACCTCCCCACCTCCCCAACACACACACATAGAGAGAGCGAGAGAGAGAGAACTAGGCCAAGAGCCCAATGAGCAGAGGTAGAAGTCAGAGACTGCAGGCAGCAATTACTCTCTCTCCATTGCTGGTTTGGAGGAAGCAGGCCACCATGACTTCTACAGCTGCAAGGAGATGAACTGTGCCCATAACCTGAAGAAGCTAGGAAGTGGATCGTTCCTCTCAGAGCCTTCACATAAGAATGCCACCTGGTTGACATCTTCATTTCAGCCTTGTGAGACCCTAAACAGAGGACATAAACTGTCCCCAGACTCCTGACCTCCTGACTCACAAAAACTGTGAAGTAATAAATGGGTGTTTTTTTAAGTCACTAAAAAGTTTGTAGTAATTTGTTCTGCAGCAATAGGATACTATACATACATACATTTATACACACATGTAATATATATGTTATATACATTAACATGTCAATGTAGAAAATGATATACATGTATCTATATGTGTATGTTCCTTAAGTTTATCCTCCTTAAGAAAATCAAGTCCTTTTTTCATCCACAAATGCCTGTGAATGTGACAATGTATGTCTATGTATGTGTGTTTCTTTTTTTTTTTTTTTTTTTTTTTTTGAGACAGAGTCTCACTCTGTCTCCCAGGCTGGAGTGCAGTGGCGCGATCTTGGGTCACTGCAACCACTCCCTCCTGGGTGCAAGCAATTCTCTGCCTCAGCCTCCCAAGTAGCTGGGATTACAGGCACCCACCACCACACCCGGCTAATTTTTTTGTATTTTTAGTAGAGACGGGGTTTCACCATCTTGGCCAGGCTGGTCTTGAACTCCTGACCTTGTGATCCACCTGCCTCGGCCTCCCAAAGTGCTGGGATTACAGGCGTGAACCACCCGCACCTGGCCTGTATATGTGTTTCTTTAGGCTATAATTGAAAACAGAATATTGCTACTTTGACTTTACTGATGGCTAGTATAAGATGAGGTCATTTCTTAGTTATAAAATTAGGAATTTACCTATTAAACAGAAGAAATTCAATTGTGTTTCATATATGTACTTGTTTCTGTGTAAGAAATCGATTATGTTTCTTCCTATGTATGTTCGTATGCGTGTGTGAGTGCATTTATAACAAGCATCCTCAATGCTTAGGAGGGTTCTCAACCAGCCAATTTCTCACATTACCTCAACTGAGAACAGATAGCTGCAGCAATAAAAGAATATACTCAGATCTCGGTGGGTATCTTAGAGACATCCCTGATGAAATCTCACAATGACTCTGGGATAGCTACCCTGGGCTCCCTTTTCAGAAGGGCCACCGTCCATCAGCATGGTGGGGGATCACTATGGCCATTGACTAACAGAGACAGCAGCAATCTCATATTCTGCTTTTGGAATTCTCTTGACATGCTAATTCCATATTATCAAATATATCACGGGTATCATTTAGACTTTTCTGTACAATGTGTTCCAGTCACCACTCCGACTTTTGCTTTCAATTATTTCCCAAAGATTTGAAATAACAGATAAACTTAATTTTCATTTATATGCCTTTCTCTACTGCCTACTTCCTTTTATTTGTCAAATGTATGATAACTCTTTAAAATTAAAAAAATACATATTTTACAAGTAAAATCTGCATGAATCAACCTTGAGTTTTATAATTAGGTGCAATCATGATTTAATGTGTTTAGATTCTAGACAACTTCTCAATCATCCTAAAGAGATACACATTAGCCTTATACGGAGACAGAAACAGAGAAAGAAGGCCTGCAAATCTCTTACGCATTTATTTTTATAAACATATATTATAAACTTACTATGTATCTGAGGCACCGTGGTGGGGTGTATAGTCTATGACCTCAAGGCTACCATGTTGTCATGGAAGAGGCAGACTGGCAGAGCAATGATGCAATTACAAATAAGAGCTGATGTGCAAAAGGCTGATGGAGATCTGGAGGGAGCAGTGCGGAAAGTGACTTGCTGGGCAGTAGGAAAGATTTCACTCTATTTTTGTAGCACAAACACAAAATCACCCCAATTCCTGGGGTAAAAATTATTTATGTTGCATTTTAGGTAAACCAATAGTATTCTTAACAGTCTTTAATTTCTGTTTTCTTCTTTAAACTCTACTGCATCCAAGCCTACAGAGGACTCAATAGTAGAAGCAATAATATCATCATTTTAGGATAGTGAGACGTGATTGGTGATAGGAGTAATCTAATTAGACAAGCAAAACACTCTGGAGTCATTTAATATTTCAGTGTAGGAGCTATCAGTCCTATAAACTTTAATCATCAGGAAAAAAATTATTGCTTTGCTGCACACTTTGTGATAATAGCCATGAGTCATTAAAGTAAGGTTCAATTATGTTCATTATGTTCTATTTAAAACGGAAAGAAACATACCATATTTAGAAATCTTTCTGTCCAATGAGTTATCTTTAAATACTACCTAAATAGGTGACCGTTTCAAAATTTCATTCATCAAATATGTCATTTGTTCATAATGTTGGAAAAATAAAATGCCAACATACTAAAAAAAAATCACATTACATTTAAATAGTTGATAGTGGTCTCTAAAGTTTTTTCCTAATTTCTCAGCATAATTCCATAAGGCAGACATTGTTTCCATTGTGCCACTGAAGCAACTGACACAGTCACTTAACCTTAGTCATGTAAGTCACCCAGTTCTTTTAACTCCTATAAATGCTCTTTCATTTATCCATCTATTAATTCAATAGACTCATTTATTGAGCATTCATATGACCCACGTTTCATAAAATAAAATGGCAGACAGTTTAGGTAATCCTGTAAATCTACAATTATAACATGATTCAAAATTTTTCTGGAGGTGGATTTTCTAGTAACAAGTGATTCCTAGAGGACTTTAACTCACTTTACAATGAAATACTACCTGCCATTTAATTACACCAGGGAATACTTCGGGTATTTTGAGAGATAGATGGATTAAGTCGGTACCCTATCCGTGAGTGACACAGGTCCACGAATGGGAAGAACTCCAGCTTTCTCTGTATGTTCCTCACATAACCAGATACTTTAAATGACTTTGTAATTTTTTGTTCATCTCTCAGTTCAGCAGGTGAAAAAACAAAACAAAACAAAAAAATCAAATCAGTCAGAGCTAACGCATCCTGTGGAGAAACAAAAGGACTGACTCTGTTTCTTTCTTCAATGGGCTGTTTGATATTGTGTAGATTTAGTGTCTGTGCTCTTCTTAAAAAATTCCACTTAACGACCCAAAAAGAAGAGCATTACTTTCACAATTTAATAAATGGAAAACTGTGGAATAGAAAGGTTAAGTGAGCTGATTATGCTCAGACAAGTCCTTAGCAACATAGCATTTCTCTGCCAGAGATTACATGAGAAGCTGCCTTTCCATGATTCCCATTGTTTATGCAGTCATTCTGTGTTGTCAAGGCACTTTTTGATTTTTGTCTTCTGTTTCCTAATTCTGCCAAGTTATTCTTTTTTTAAAAAAGGCACAGCACACGTGGCAATCTAAAATCCAGAGTTTTTCTTGGCATCACTGATTATGCTTTTGGATGAATGAACACACCGACTTGGATGAGGAAAATGCAAAAGAAAAATAGTAAAATAGTAAAATAAGAGAAGTATTATGTTCAATATTTGAAATAATTACAGTCACTCAGGAAAAAAATAAGAGCATCTTAAAATCCATTAGCTAACAGGACTAGGAGGGCAAAGAACAGCATGAAACAGCTATTGGAATTTATACCTTTTTTTTAAACTCACAGACTAAACCAAGATACCATTCATAGTTTAAGGCTAGGGGGATAGCAAATTGGCCTCACATTAGAAAGAATTGTCCAGGCTTTGAATTGATAGCCCAAAGACAAAACAAATCTGGCTGTGTGTCTAAAGTCAGCCTTGATTTTGATGTCAGTTAATTTGCTTGTGACTTTGAAAACTTTAAATTGTTGCCATCTTTAACCCTTGAGAAATGAGTCATCTGTTTCTGTAAAGTAGAAAAGGACAAAATCAGCAAGAAAGAAAATTTTATTTTCAAAGTTCAAAGAGAATGCAATAAGTAGTGGAGATGATTTACCAGTAACTGTGCTATTGTTTTTCTCAAGAGTTTGAAATACTCTCTTAAGGAACACAAAAAGCAAACAATTTTAAGAATAATTGTAGAAGTCAGGTTTTCTTTCTCTCAAATTTTTGCAACAAGAGAAAGCCGAGGAATTTGCTTGGCATAACTATAAAGGAAAGCATAGAGCAGCTATTGCAATTTTTTTTAAAGACATGATTAGACCACCTTGGTATCTTCAATACAGTTTCCAAATTATTTTCCTTGTAATAAATAATTCATGATCAGTATTATTATCCTAATTTTTCAGGTGCATAAACTGAGGCCCATAGGTTTTTATATCGCTCAACAAAGTGACTGGTTTCCAAGGTGAAGGTCTAGGATCTGAGCCCTACTCTGTGACTCTGTGAACTCCATCCTCTGACCTCTACTCTAGCTCACTTCTTCCAGTGAATCTTCATACTTTGATTGCCTGCATTGTACTTTCTTTTCCTATACAAATAAAGATGGCTTGCCTGTCTTACTCAGGTCATGGAGTTGTTATAAATATCAAATATCACAATGTATGTAAACATGGTTTAGGAATTTAATAGTGAAGAGTTTTTATTTTAATGCATATAGAAAGCATGATTGATTAGTCTGAAACTGGTTGTTTGGATTTAGAGCAGCTATTTTAGTGGTAATCTGAAAACTACCTGCCAAACACGGTGGCTCATACCTGTAATCCTACAATTTTGGGAGATCAAGGCAGGAGGATTACTTGAGCCCAGGAGTTCAAGACCAGCCTGTGCAACACAGTGAGACCCTGGTCTTTACAAAAAACAATTAGCTGGGCATGGTGCTGTGTGTCTGTAGTCCCAGCTACTCAGGAAGCTGAGGCAAGAGGATCACTTGAGCCTAGGAATTTGAGGCTGCAATCAGCCATGATAGCACCATTGTACTCTAGCCTGGGCAAGGAGCAAGACCTTGTCTCTAAAATAAAAAATAAAAAGAAAATTACTAACCTTTGCTTCCTGCCCCTACCACCACTTACTACCCTCCCATAGTCAAGCTGGAGAATTCCAGAGATTTATAGTAAATCTTCCCCATATTCCCATTCTTCCAGGACACACTCAGCTACCACACCTACCCATACTTTACCTGGAAGAAGGATGAGTGTGAAAGCACCATTCATGCTTCTGATTGCATTTTAACCTAACACTCATGATATACAGAGTTTGACCAGTCAAAGATGCAAATCATTCCCAAATGTGCTGGGTTCCTGTGTTTAATGAGAATTATAGGACTTGCTATCCACCTTGAGGTCTGCTGGAGATAAACCAAAGAAAAATATGAGCAACAGCTCTTTTTCATGAATAGGTTGAAAACTTGCCCAATAATTCTTAGCAGTTCTAGGACAAGACCCAATTTTCTACTTGCAGCCTTGTTTGAGGTCCCAGGTTGAAAAAATTAAAAGTCAGATACTGAAGCACCCCACCACCTTGATTCACAAATGCAGTTTCTATGTGTTACAACCAGAATCAGGATGCAAGAAACTTCAGGACAAGAAAACTTGACTTTGTCCAAAGTGTGATTTTGTCAGAGATTAATGCTTCTGTTCCCAATACCAAGTAAGAAATTGATTGGTTCAGATCCACAGAATGAGAATGAGGAGGCACTGATGCTGCTGAGAACTCAGTGCATTGCATGTCACACCTAAAGCACACATTTATTTTTAAAGATCTCAACTCAATCATTCTGTTTGCCAGGCACTGGGCTGTGAGCTTTCTATGAAGTATTTTAATTAATCCTTAACAAACACTTTTTATGTGGGGGCTATCATTTTACACATGAGGAAACAGCTAGTGGATCCAAAGCTAGAACACACCCCAACACTGGGCTATTTGCAAAAAGTTAGCAAAAAGTACGTATCTGGGGACAACTGCTTCCTTCTCCCCTATGCCTTTGTGATCAGAAGGAGTATTTCTATGAGAGGTGGTCCTGTGAGTGTATGATGAACACTTAAAAACAAACTATAAAGCTCCTTTTAGTGTGTTCAGAAGCGAAAATGTTTTCTATGTGTTACTAGACTCCAATTCACAGAATTTTGTTTTTTTTTTTTTTTTTTTTTTTTTGAGACGGAGTCCCGAACTGTCACCTGAGCTGGAGTGCAGTGGCGCAATCTCGGCTCACTACAACCTCCGCCTCCCAGGTTCAAGTGATTCTCCCGCCTCAGCCTCCTAAGTAGCTGGGATTACAGGCGCCCACTACCATGCTTGGCTAATTTTTTGTATTTTTTGTATAGACAGGGTTTCACTATGTTGGCCAGGCTGGTCTCGAATGCCTGACCTCGTGATCCACTGGCCTTGGCCTCTCAAAGTGCTGGGATTACAGGTATGAGCCACTATTCCTGGCTCACAGAAAATCTTAGAAGGGAGATATATGAGAAAAGAGAAGGGATCATTGTCTCCTATTACACATTGGAAGCTATAACATTCTCTAGCATTTTTATAACATAACTGAAAGCAAAGCTTAGAAGTCAGTGGTGGGAGATGAGTTCGCTGCTACAGTGTAGGTACTTCAGCCATCACAGATTTGGATGGGACTTGTCTGGTTCTCTGAGTGCCAGCTTCCTTGGTCAAGGCTCCATGAATGGTCTCCCAGGACTCCACACATACAGAAGAGGTCAACCACTGCAGAGGGAAGACCAGGCTTTATTCCAAGGTTTATGAGTTGTTGCAGGCCTCAAGATGCTTGGAGACTAGGAAGGGAAGTGGACATCTGTGTCAATGCCAGAATGCTAGCCAGACCATGATAAATACCATAAGAGGGCACTAGGAAAATACAAGCATTCACAGAAAGGAGTGTGCAGAGCCATGGTGGAGGGAAATCCACCACAGAGCAGGGAGAGGGGCTTCAGCTGTCACTCAGAGTTAAACCTGGAAAAATCAGATGTCTACGAAGACTGAACTTTATTTAGCGATGGGAGCAGCAATAGTTGGAGAGGAGGAAAAACCATTGCAGGAAAAAGGAACAGCTACAATCAAACACATCAAGACGGAATGTATGGGACAAGTGCAGAGGCCCATTTAGCTAAGAAGAATAGTGAACGAATAAGAACAGCTAAACATTTAAAGAGCAGTGATTCTTTTTGCAAGTAATTTACATGTAGCATCTTATTTGGTCTGCTATAAAGTAGGTGCTATCAGTATAAGGCAAGAACTATCACTATAGCCACTTTACAAATAGGACCTCGGACTTACCACCTTTCTATGAGAGGAGGTCCTGTGAGTGTATGATGAACACTTAAGTCAACTGGCTAATCTGCCTAGACAGTAACAGAGCAGATGCAGCCTGCTCCCAGGTCCCCTTTGTTATTATGACTTCCTTTTAAGTACAATATGGGAGATAAGGTTGTGAAGGGGAGTTGTGGCCAGAAGTCAAGAGTCCTGGAACATTATCCTAAGATAGGATCGAGAAGCATAGAAAGCCTTGAAAATGTTCAACAGGAGTTAGATATGATCAGAGCTGAGCTTTGGAAAGACCGAAGCTATCCAGGACATTATTTTAAAAACTGAGTTACTAGTTTGCTTGCTTGCTTAAGCCCCCACTTCAAGGATGAAGGGAAAAGTGCTGATAGTTATTTCTGGGTCAGTGTCTTCTGAGCCAGAATCCTCAAGTGCATTTCCCCACTCCCTCTACACTCATTTTAGTTGCCTAGAAGAGTCTTACAAAGTTTTCTAATTGGCTGAGGATCCTAAACCCGGAAACAATAAATGAAAGTCTGAGATTTGGGCTCAATCAATGTCACAGGAAAGAAGGCACTGGGGCTTATATTTTTACATAAAGATGCTGCATTTGGGGTAGTCAAAGCTCACACATTCTGCAGTCACCCCCATTACAGGAAATGGTGGGCCTTGGATATGGCTGACTGTAATATTAACTTTATGAGGAAACAGACTCTGCTCTGAAGACTTATGACCTGAGGGAAAGATGGACAAACAGAAGACCAAGGCCTCATGGTGGGCTCCTCTGATAGCCTCCTGTGCTGCTTTCCTCCTCAGAAATACTGAGGTTGGACGTGAGGCACTCTTCAGCAAAAGGACATTTCTGCCTTTCCAGCACTAAAATGGCCATGAGTAAAATTGATATGTCACCGTCTCACCAAAGTGAAAAACTGAAGCGGACTCCTAAGGCCACGCATGGAGCAAAACTGTTTATGCAAGAAGCATTTACTGAGCACCTGCTGTGTGCTCTGCTTGATTGACTTGGATGAGAACCATGAACAATATGAACAAGTGCCCTGCCCTCAAGAGTCTTACATTCTAGGGCAGGAGGAAAGACACCTGTAACAATCAAGAGATAATAAAATGTCTGTGAAAGTAAAATCAGATCAGGTCATAAAGTAACAGAGCAGTAGGCTACTCCACAGAGCTTGCCAAGGAAGGCCTCCCTGAAGAGGTGATGTGTGAGCAGACACTGGAGTGACGAGAAGAAGCCAGCGTGCAAAGGGCCAGGCAAGCACATCTGATGGAGAGAGTTCAGCAAGTATAAAAGCCTCAAGGCAGGGAATGTGTTTCCCATGTTCAAGGAAAATAAGGAACAGGAGCCTGGAGCGTAGACAGGGATGGCATGTACAACAGAAAATGGAAGTAAAGGGGGCCCCACTGGCCAGATCATCTAGGGCCGTATTTATAAATTTGGGTTTTATTGTAAATATAAGAAGCCCCTTGAGGGTTATAAACAGTGATGCGACTAGTGATATTAATAGTATTAAAATAGGACTGTGCATGTTGAGTGCAGAATGAATAGCACAGAAGCAAATGTGGAGACAGAGAGAACACTCAATTGGGTACTGCAGAAGTTTAGGTGAAAAAGCCTGGTGGTTTTGACTAAAGGTGGCAATGGGGAGGTAGAGGAATGAGCAGATTCAAGATACATTTTTGGAGACAAAGACAACAAGACTTCCTAGTTGACTGAAAGGGAGGTGGGAATGGAGAAAGAGAGAGTGATTAAAGATAATTACTAGGTCTTAGTCTTAAGCTTAAACAACTGATTGGAAAGTGTCATTTGCTGAGTCAGGGAAAAGTGGGGAGGAAAAGGAGGGTCGAGAAGAATCCAGAGGTCCAACTGAGTTGCCTTATGTTTGAGATGCTTACTGGTAAAAAGACAGATATGTGAATTAGGTAGTTGGATACATAAGTCAGGAGTCTAGGACAGGAAAGGCACAGTGGCTCATTCCTGTAAGCCCAGCACTTTGGAAGGCCAAGGCAGGAGGTTTGCTCGAGGCCAGGAGTTCAAGAAAAGCCTGGGCAATATAGTGAGACCCTGTCTCTACAAAAAAGATAGAAAAAAAATTAGTTGGGTGCAGTGACAGGCATCTGTAGTCCCAGCTATTTGAGAGACTGAGGTAGGAGGATAACTTGAGCCCAGGCATTTGAGATTGCAATAAGCTAGGATGGTGCCACTGCACTCCAGCCTGGGCAACAAAGCAAGACCCTGTCTCTAAAAAAATGAAAAAGTAAAAAAGAAAAAAGAAAAAGAAAAGATTCTAGGAGACAGTTGAGATCGCTGAGGGTTAGAGACATAAATTTGGGAATCGTAAAAATTTGGATGCATTTGAAGCCATAGAACCAGCTGTGATCACTCAGGGAGAGATTAAACATAGAGAAACAACCAGGGCCCAAGAGTAAACCCAGGGAGTTCATTCAGCACCTGTAGGTTCGTAGAAGGTGAACAGTCAGCAAGGACCAAGAAAGTAGAAGGAAAACCAAAAGGGTACAAGAACACAGAAGCCAAGAAAAGAAAGTGTTGTTTCAGGAAGGAGGACATGGTCAACAGGATAGAGAGAGTGATTAAAGCCAATTACTAGGTGACATGTTGCCTAAGATAAAGGCAGTTTTGAGCTCCTTCAAAGGTATCTGTTTCCTTTGTTTTGATATTGTTTCCAAAAACTACATATCAGGTTTGATACGATACCAGAATGCAGTTAAAATGTAATCAGTTTATTTACTCAAGATGTGTGGGATTATAGAAACATTTTATCAATTACCATTTCCATTTATAACTTGTGCATCAGTTATAGATCCTATTGTAAGATTGATATGCAGCCAAACTGTGCTATATACTTTCAGTGTTCACTGTGTAAGATACTAAAGGGCTTATTACACTGTAGCCCAGCCTAAAGACACATGCTAATTATCTTCCATCATGGTGCCTGCACTGGCTGTACTTCTACTGAATTGTAAGCTCTATCATGGTGGGCACGTGCCTGATATGTTCAATCAAACAATAGTTTAATGTTTAGTATGTTTGTTTGTTTGTTTTGAGACAGAGTCTCACTCTGTGGCCCAGATTGGAGTGCAGTGGCACAATATCGACTACCTACAACCTCCACCTCCCGGGTTCAAGCAATTCTCCTGCTTCAGCCTTCCAAGTAACTGGGATTACAGGCATGCACCACCATGCCCAGCTAATTTTTTTGTGCATTTTAAATAGAGACGGGGTTTCACCATGTTGGCCAGGCTGGTCTCGAACTCCTGACCTCAAGTGATCCTTCCGCCTCGGCCCCCAAAGTGCTGGGATTCCAGGTGTGAGCCACCAGGCAGATTTTTTAAACTTTGGCTGATAAAGTGATTTAATCATTAATCAGTCAGTGTTAAGAGATTAGCCCTCCCATTGGACATGCTGAAAACAGGCAGCTGGCGACTAAGTGAAGTCTCACAGGCAGAACATCTCCACTAAATCACAGTCTAGCTCCAAGGACCCCTTGTTATTCATAATATTTACTGCATATTTAGTCCCCACAAGCTCATGATTAATTACTGCACAGATTCGGATGGACAACATGTGACCTACAGTTTCCCTCTGCACAGTAATTGTAGAGGGAAATGTAATAATACCCAGTCAGTCTAAAAAGCCTATTAGTCCAATTCTCCACAAAATTCCATGAAAATATAACATCACAGCCTGTTGACTTCCAAGAAATAGTTTACCAAGAGTTGCCATAAACATTAGTACATTTTAGTTTTAGTGATAGGGTACTTGGCAAATATACATAAAATCATACACACATGAGGCACTTTGATAGGCACTGAAAAATAAAAGACATACTTCCTGATCTTAAAGAGTCCTAAAATCTAGTTGGGTAGATGCTTTTCATAACATGAAAAGCTAACTAATAGTTAGACATTGAAATGAGAAAAACGAAATGTTATGAGGTTCTATAGAATTGACAGCTATTGATGTGGGCCAGGTATGAGATGGATATGAATCTTCAGTGGAATCTCTGATAAACACAGAAAGTGGGCCGGGCGCGGTGGCTCACACCTGTCATCCCAGCACTTTGGGAAGCCGAGGCAGGCGGATCACGAGGTCAGATCGAGACCATCATGGTTAACACAGTGAAACCCTGTCTCTCTCTACTAAAAATACAAAAAATTAGCCGGGCCTGGTGGCGGGTGCCTGTAGTCTCAGCTACTCGGGAGGCTGAGGCAGGAGAATGGCGTGAACCCGGGAGGCGGAGATTGCAGTGAGCTGAGATGGCGCCACTGCACTCCAGCCTGGGCAACAGAGCGAGACTCCATCTCAAAAAAAACCAAAAAAACAAAACAACAACAACAACAAAAAACACAGAAAGTGAAGGATAAACAGAGTAACATAAAGTATGTGTGTGTTTTGTTCTTCCTCAAAATAAAAAATTATCAGTCCTAGACTATTTTATGTGAGAAACCCACCTTGACACCTGTTTCTCATTGTATGGCAACTACAAAGAAGTATAATGCTGAACAGTGCATCTCTAGAGAACAGCTTCCATGTGGGACAGTGTTTCCAAACAGAGAATACATTTTCTATCCCTGTAATTACTCTTCTATTATAATAAGATGTCCTTTGACACACAGAATGGCGTTGTAGAGGAGCACTAGATCAAGAGTCAAAGGGTTTCAGAACTCCTGACTCTGCTGTGAATTTGATGTGTGTCCTTGCCATGGATAGGACAGCAGCGCACGGGAGTCAAGAGCTCTCCAGACATACCTGTCATTCACTATTTGTGTGATTGTAGGCAAGGCATTTCAGCTTTCTCAGACTTTATTTCATCATCTATAAATTGGGAAGAACAGTGTCTCCGGAAACTCCAATGCATGTTAGTAAGTGAAGGAAGCCAATCCAAAAAGGCTACCTACTGTATGATTCCAACTACATAACATTCTGGATAAAGGCAAAAATATGGAGACAATAAAATGATTAGTGGTTGTCAGGGGTTAGAGGAGAGGGATGGATGAATCGGCAGAGCACAGAGGATTTTTAAGGCAATGAAACTACCTCGTATGATTCTATAACGGTGGACACACGTCAGTGTAAATTTGCCCAAACTATAGAATGTACAACACCAAGAGGGAACCCTAATGTAAACCATGGACCTTGGGTGATAATGATGCCTCTATGTAGGTTCATTAATTGAAAAAAGTGTACCTCTCTGGTGGAGTATGTTGCTAATGGGGGAGATTATGTACATATACGGATACGGGGTATAGGAGAAGTCTTTATAGCTTCTCCTGAATTTTATCGTGATCTTAAAATTGCTCTAAAAAATAAAATACATTTAAAACAATCATAAAAGAACAGTACTTCGGCCATAGAGTAGTAATAATTAAATGCGATAAATATGTAAAGGACAGCACAGAGCTTCCTAAATAGTCAATGTTCAATAAATGCCAGCTATTACTCTGATCCTGTTTCTTAGCATACAGCAGATCAAAAGCTGCTGACTGGAATTAAAGGTCAGAGCTGCTAGAAGTTATACTGATGGTGGCCAGATGTTACAGGAGGATACAGAAGAATGCTAGGAAGGAAGCATCAGAACTCAGGAAACATTTCTTCCAAGGCTATACAGGGAGGGAGCAAATAATGGTCTCTTTGTTTTTTGTTTTAGACACTGGGTCTGGCTCTGTCACTGGGGCTGGAGTGCAGTGGCATGATTATGACTCACTGCAACCTCCACCTCCTGGGCTCTAACAATCCTCCCACCTCAGCCTCCCAAGTAGCTGGGACTACAGGTGCAAACCACTATGCTGAGCTAATTTTTAAAATTTTTCTGTAGAGACAGGGTCTTGCTTTGTTGCCCAGGCTAGTCTCAAATTCCTGGCATCAAACAATCCTCCTGCCCCCCAAAGTGCTGGAATTACAGATGTGAGCCATTCCTGGCCTGCTCTCTATCTTAACAGATCAGGAAGCATCAGTACCGTGCAGAGTCACAACCTATAGCATTGTGATGTAAGAAAAGCAGGAACATTTGCCTAAGAAGGGCTGGGTTGGAATTCTTGCTCTCTGTTGGTCCCGTGCTAATTCTGGGTCCTTGACTAAGTCCATTCACGTCCCTGAACTGGATCCCTGCCATCACCATGCGCAATAGGCACAGCTCAGCTACTGTCCGCTCTACCTCAGCAGACAGGACTAGGACCTTTCTGGCCCAGCCCATCTTGTTGTAAATAACAAAGCATGCCCCATAGGACTCCAAAGAATAAAAAATCATACTCCATTTGTCACAGCTGTGATAATCACTCACTTTTGCTCTAAAAATGGAGACAGTATGCACCTCACCAGGCAACTGAGAGAATTGAATGAAGTCATGGCTTACAAAGCATTTGGGACACACAACCCCCAGCTCCGTCAATGTTAGTGTGGCTATGAATGTTTTCTAAATGATAATTCACACGCTCAGGTGCCAGCATAGAGCTATACTTGCTACTATTCTGACCTGGGTATTGTGCCTCCGTTTTGAAAATTGAGTATTCATCCCGTTCCTGAGCCTTAGTTTTTCCAGGTCTTATGAACTGGCTTCTTCCTAACCCGGCATCTCACGCTTTTTTTTTTTTTTTTTTTGAGACAGAGTCTCGCTCTGTCACCAGGCTGGAGTGCAGTGATGTGATCTCGGCTCAGTGCAACCTCCGCCTTGCGGGTTCCAGTGATTCTCCTGCCTCAGCCTCCCGAGTAGCTGGGATTACAGGCACATGCTACCATACCGGGTTAATTTTTCGGTTTTTGTTTGTTTGTTTGTTTGTTTGTTTTAGTAGAGACAGGGTTTCACCATGTTGGCCAGGCTGGTCTCAAACTCCTGACCTCAGGTGATCCACCCGCCTCAGCCTCCCAAACGTTTTTCTTTTTTTTTTTTTCTTAAAGAAAGAATGGAAAAATGCATACATACCGTGCTCTGGTCCACATTTATTTGCTTTCATTTTGGTAATCCTCTGGGTCCTGCTGTGTGCTTGCTAGTCCCTTATCCAGAGCCTGAAGCCCAGACTCAGAACACAGTCTGCTGGCTGGGTTCTTCTCCTCATTAGAGATCGCCCAAATACCACTCTCATTGCTTGGACATACAAGTAGACCATGTCCCACCTCTCAATCCTTGAACTTCGTTCATGTGGTAAGATACCCTATTACACTATTTCTTCTGAAAATTTCCATTACTAATTGTTTCCCCGCATAAATGATTGCAGTATGATTTGGTTGCGTGCCTATCTATGGCACTCAATTCCCACTATCAGCACCTGCAAAAGGCTCAGCTCAGTCACCACGTGCTCCATCTGAATAGGCAGGACTAGAACCTTTCTGGCCTGGCCCATACTATTGCAAATAACTAAACAGGCCCTGTAGATACCCAAAGTACAATAAATCATGCTCTGTCTCGCAGCTGACATTTCCCCTGGAATTCAACAGTCTAGATATATCAAGTAGATGGGTGGGTCAGGTCTACAAGAAGTCTATCTACATACACATGGTATTGAAAAGTCTCCTGTGCGGAAAAGTCACTCTCAGAGAAAAAGGAGTCAAACTGGGTCAAGTACAAAACTTATACTATAGAGAAGAGACATGCTTCTATGAGTTCAAATCTGTTTTCCAGTCTAGGCCTCCCACATATTCCCACCTGAATTCTAGTAAGAGAGTAAGAGAAAGAGGCTCTATGTAGTAAAACAGTGGAATGCACTGTAGGGCCACATGGGAAACATTTGGAAAAGTAAACAGTAAGGAGAGAGGGGTATTCCCTCTACTTCTGTACCGCCTTGGCACACGAAGGACATCAGAGAACCTGGCATCTCTTAGGCATTCAAAGCACATTGGTGGCATTATCGTCAGGAAAGAGACAGCAGCAGCTAAAGGAAGTGACAGCAACACCCTGTTGGGCAGATGGACAGAACAGGAGTCGATGGGAGTCAGAACTACCCTCTGAGAGTAGCTCACCTGTGGATCCTGGAAGCAAAGGCGAGGCATTTTCATGCAACTTTGCACCCATCAACAACAGAGAAAGGAAGCTTATACCAGGAAAAGTAGAGAAATAA